>NT_167248.2:3044011-3310650 GCF_000001405.40 Homo sapiens | reverse complement strand
GGCCAGTTCGAGCGCGTGGTGCTGCGCTGGCGGCCTCAGCCGCCTGCAGAGGGCCCCGGCGGTGAGCTGACTGTGCCGGGCACCACGCGCACCGTCAGCCTGCCCGACCTCAGGCCCGGCACCACCTACCACGTGGAGGTCCACGGGGTGCGGGCGGGGCAGACCTCCAAGTCCTACGCCTTCATCACCACCACAGGTAGTGTGGGCTGGGGCCACGGGACACCTATCCCTTGTCCAGCCTCACCTGCCGTTGGAGCCTGCATTCATGAATTCCTCCCACTGCCACCCCCCACTGCCCCCTTCTACCTTCAGGCCCTACCTGGCCGGGGCTCCAGGGGGCCCCCAGGACAAAGCACGAGTCCATTGTCCCTAGAAGACGTCCCCACCCCAGGGTCCTGGCATCCATCCTGTGGATGCCTAAGGTCAAGGCAGCGCCTTCTTTGGGGTTTCCCGGGACACTTCCAGGATTGTTATTTTAGGCAATAGAGGGTGATGTGGTTGGGGCACCTGCAAAGATTCACTGGAGCAGTTTGAGTGGGCTGGGAATTGAAAACAGTGATTCCCGTTCTGACTCACTGTGGTGAGAGTGGCTGAAGACTGTGGTTAGTGGTTACTGTTTTCCACAATTTGGCCTTGACCTTGAAGGGACACATCAGAACTGCGTGGGGGTGGCCTGGGTGCCATCAGGCAGCAACTGTATATTGGGGAGGTGAAACCACTGCTTCTTAAGCTGGCTTTTCAGACCCCCTGGCTCACTTTATGCTGGTCTCTCCCACAGGAACGATGTCTGGGCTTGGGGAAAGGGCACCCTGTGGCTGCTGTGGGGAGGGTGGTGGACCTCTTCTTCCCCCATAGGGCCCAGATGCCACCTGACCTGGATGTCCACCCCCACACCCTCTCTCTCTTCCCACTGCCCACTCTCCTCTTGCATCCTCCCTCTCTAACACCACTGTCTTTCTTCCAGGCTTCTCACTGCAGCACTAATGGAAGCCACCTGACCACCACCCAGTGGGGGGGATGTATGTGGGGAGGGACATGGAAGTCTCCGGGGGCTGGAGGTCATGGAAGCCTTGTGGGGTGAAGGATAGCAGGCTTTATTTTACCTATTACCTGCCTGAAGCACAGGCCCGTCTGCTCAGGAATGTGGTAGATGGGGGTGTTTGGAGGATTGGCTGACCTTTGGGAGGAGGGAGTGGCCCAGGTGAGGGAACCAGAAGTAGAAGTAGAACAAGGCTCTTAGAGGCTGGAGGGCAGAACCTGGGGACTGGGGATTCCTTTCTAGTTCTCATACTGGACTCTCCTCTTTTTCTCACCCTGCCCCTTCCCAGGGTCCTCACCCTTGGGCCTCTTGGGGACTACCGATGAGCCTCCTCCCTCAGGCCCCTCGACGACGCAAGGGGCCCAGGCTCCTCTCCTGCAGCAGCGCCCCCAGGAGCTGGGAGAGTTGAGGGTGCTGGGCAGAGATGAGACAGGGCGCCTCCGTGTGGTCTGGACCGCCCAGCCTGACACCTTTGCCTACTTCCAACTGCGCATGCGGGTGCCCGAGGGGCCGGGGGCACATGAGGAAGTGCTGCCAGGGGACGTCCGCCAGGCTCTGGTGCCTCCACCCCCTCCTGGAACCCCGTATGAGCTGTCACTTCATGGGGTCCCTCCTGGGGGCAAGCCCTCTGACCCCATCATCTACCAAGGCATTATGGGTACATCTTGGACTCTGCTCAGATCAATATCCTGAGATTGGGGGAGGAGCTGGGGTTATTGGGACTTCAGAGGTAGGATGGATATTGAGGGGCCAGTGAAGGGCAGGGCTGATGTTTGGGGCTGGATAGAGGAGAAAAGGAGAGAAAAGGAATTGCAGGTTCAGCAGGAAGATGGATCGAGGGGGATCTTAAAACAATGATAAGGATGGGTGGGGAGAGGGGAAAGAGGCAGAGGTAAAAAGGCCGAGGGTGGGACAGAGATTCCAGGAGAGAGGCTGAAGGTCCCTGGCCCTCCACCTGCAGCTTTCCTTGCCCTGTCCCCTGCCCCCACTCTTCGGTTGCTCCTCTGCCCTTCCCTGCCCTATAAATCTTTCAGGGTGGGCATGGGAAGGCCTCTGGACACTGACCCTCAGCCCCCAATACCTCGTCCCTGGGAGCCTGGTTTGCAGTGGACAGCAGTCCATGGTCCCATCAGCCAGTTTCTGCTGGGGGTGAAGGCTCCTTGGGGCAGGGGGCTCCACAGCCATCAGGACTTCAGACATGGATGAGGTTTGCAGGACCAGTGAAAGACAGGTCCTGGGGTACCTGGCTTTCACATCCCCTCTTTGTTCCTCTCTGTGGGACCAGGGTGGCTGACTCATCCCCCAGCTCCAGGTCAAGCTCACCACTGGAAGAGAGGGTGGTAAGAGAGACAGCAGCTCAGGTGGGCAGAGGAGCTTTCAGACTGCTCTGATGCTGCAGCAGGGAGGCTTGAAACTCTCATTCAGAACCAGGGGGACCTGAAACCCCCGCAAAGATCCTGGTGTGCAGAGAGACCAAGACCTTGTGAGGGATGGAGAAACTGTCACAAGGGAAGAAGCAGAGATTGAGAGGGAAATGCCCCTCTTCCAGAAGAGCTAGTCACTGAGGGGTGGGCAGATAGAGTCTTCCGGGGAGGGATCTATCCAGGATGGAGTGAGGTGGGCAGGGGAGAGGGAAGGAGACACAGACAAGAGAACGGTTGAGTCCACTATGCTTTGCTTTTGCCTCTCAAACTCCAGACAAGGATGAGGAGAAGCCTGGGAAGTCCTCAGGCCCACCACGCCTGGGTGAGCTGACGGTGACAGACAGGACCTCCGACTCCTTGCTCCTGCGCTGGACGGTCCCCGAGGGCGAGTTTGACTCCTTCGTGATCCAGTACAAAGACAGGGACGGGCAGCCCCAGGTGGTGCCCGTGGAAGGACCCCAGCGCTCGGCCGTCATCACCTCCCTGGATCCTGGCCGCAAGTACAAATTTGTCCTGTATGGGTTTGTTGGCAAGAAGAGGCATGGTCCGCTGGTGGCTGAAGCCAAGATCTGTGAGTGACAGCAGTAACACCCTGCCCTCTGTACTGCCCTGAAGAGGTTTTCTCAGTGCTTTGGGAACCTGCTTTGGGAGCTCCGGGAAGGCTTCCTGGAGGCAGTGGTGCATGAGCTGAATTCTGAAGGGAAAGTAGTGGTGGGGCAGGCAAAGAGTTTGAGAAGCTCAGTGCAGCCTGAGGGAGTCACGGTGAGTAAGGTGGGGAGAGCATGGCCAGTAAGAGAATCACTGTTACAGTTTCCTCTGGCTGGAGAACAGGGCATGTGGGGGGTGCCAAAGGGCCTGGTCTCAGGGCTTCCTGTGCTGTGCTGAGGGGCTTGGGCCTCATTCGAAGGCCCCTAGAGGGCCTCTGAAGGGTAAAGTGGGAGAGTGATGAGACTAGATATTTATCTTGCAAATAACCGGGTGGCTGCTGAGACTAGCTGGAGAAGTGAGTTAAGAGCTGGTAAAGGCTAGCAGGGTTGATCCTGCCTATAATCCCAGCACCTTGGGAGGCCAAGGCAGGAGGATCGCTTGAGGCTAGGAGTTTGAGACCAACCTGGCAACATAGTGAGACCCCCCATCTCTACTATAACAAAAGATATTAGCCAGGCGTGGTGGTGCGTGCCTGTAGTCCCAGCTACTTGAGAGGCTTGAGGTGGGAGGATCGCTTGAGCCCAGGAGACCGAGGCTGCAGAGAGCCATGATTGTGCCACTGTACTCCAGCCTGGGTGCTATCCACACTCTGCACAGAGCAACACCCTGTCTCAAAAAAAAGAAAAATGATGATGGGTCAGCTGGGATGGTGGCAGTGGGGCTGGATGGGGGAGGCGAAGGAAAGCAAGGTGTACCAGGCAGCCCCCAGGGTTCTGGATGAGACAGTCCCATTCCCTGAGGCAGGGAGCAGCAGAGGTGGGGAACAACGCCTTAGATAAACTTAGATCAATATCTAAGAGACACTTACATAAATACCTTTTGTGCATTTATTGAGAGTCAGTTGTGATCAAGATGTTCTCTAAGTGGATCATCACACCCCATAAAGCACACCTGGGAGGCATGCCTACTTTATAGGTCAGGAGAATTGAGGCACCAGAGTAGTCGTGTGGGGTTGGGGAAGAGACAGGGCCACTGGAACCCTGTCGACAGCCTACACTCACAGCGGAGGCAGAGGAAGAAGAGCCCACAGGGTAGCTTGCGGAGTGACTTGCAGGGAGGGGCAGAACCAGGGAGGGTGCTGTCTGGACTCCAGGAAGGAGGGTGCGGTTGGACTTGTCAGATTCCGGAACAGTGATTCAAGGGCTACGGAGCGTCCACAGAATTTAGCAATGGCAAGGCCACCCCTGGCCTGCATGAGAGCTGCTGCCTGGTGGAGGGGTGGAGCTGGATCGGGAGGGTGGTGGAGGTGAGGACATGGCTGCAATCAGTGTAGACATCACTTTCTGGAATCTGGGCTGGGAATGAGAGCAAAGAGGGAAGATGGAGGCTAGAGAGAGATGCACACAGAGTGGGGGTGAGGAGGGGTGTGACAGTAGCTTGTTGAAATGCTGATGGCACAGCTGCTGGGGAGTGAAGGGTCAGTGCTGCAGGCGAGGGAGTCCATCCATGGGTCAAAGTTCCCAAAGAGGAGGAGAGGCCTGCAGCATAGATGAGGGAGGCTGTCCCACATTAAAACGCTTCAAGGATTGTGCTCTCCTCTCTTGGAGAAGAAGCCAGCTAGTAGTTAGGCTTGGAAGCAGTGGAGGTTGTACTGGGAAGATTTCCCTGGCTATGGAGATGTGAAAGGGCCTGGCTGGGCTCCCCTCTTTCTGAAGCTCCCTGCTGCTCTGGTTTGTGGTTGGAGGCAGAGCCACACTAGTCCACGCAGTGCTTCCATGCCGTTTGAAAGAAGGCACCCATTCCTTAAAGTGGACACCACTCCTCACCAGGGCACACAGCTCGGCAAGCAGAGTGCTGGCTGGATTTCAGTCCCTCTGTACTCCCTCAGCAAATGCACTTTTGTGCAGTGAACAACCTGCACAGCCTCACACAGCATTCCTATGTGGGATTTGGCTTCCCCATTCTCCTTGGACCTAAGTCTCTCCCTTCTCTCTACCCACTCTTCCTAGTGCCTCAGAGTGACCCAAGTCCAGGGACTCCACCCCACCTGGGAAACCTGTGGGTGACAGACCCTACCCCAGATTCACTGCACCTCTCCTGGACTGTCCCTGAGGGCCAGTTTGACACCTTCATGGTCCAGTACAGGGACAGGGATGGACGGCCCCAGGTGGTACCTGTGGAAGGGCCCGAGCGTTCATTTGTTGTCTCCTCACTGGACCCTGACCACAAGTACAGATTCACTCTGTTTGGAATTGCGAACAAGAAGCGGTATGGCCCCCTCACGGCCGATGGCACCACTGGTGAGTAGCAGCCACCTCAGCCCCCATGTGACCCCTTCTCAGCCCCATGCACACTTCCCTTCAGCCCAAAACCAGCTGGGGTCCCCCAGCAAGACAGCTGACTCCAGCTTCCCGGCCCCACTCCAGGGCTGAGGGGCAGCCAGACTCCCCCGCACTGCTGGGCCCCTTCCATCCCAAGCAGCAGCTCCCCGTGGCCCAGAAGGTGTGTCATACCCTGGCTGTGTCAGGCTTCCCAGAAGTTTAGCACTCGAATTAATGGACTAGTGACCCCCCACCCCCCATAGGTGTGACATCCCGTCGAAACCCCAAGCCCCAGTCCCAGGCTGCCAGTTCAGCACCTGGCTGGATCTCCTTGTTTACAGCTCCAGAGAGGAAAGAGGAGCCCCCCCGCCCTGAGTTCCTGGAGCAGCCCCTCCTGGGGGAACTGACAGTGACCGGCGTGACCCCAGACTCCTTGCGTCTCTCATGGACAGTGGCCCAGGGCCCCTTCGACTCATTCATGGTCCAGTACAAGGATGCACAGGGGCAGCCCCAGGCAGTGCCTGTTGCGGGGGATGAGAATGAGGTTACTGTCCCCGGCCTGGATCCCGACCGGAAGTATAAGATGAACCTCTACGGGCTTCGTGGCAGGCAGCGTGTGGGGCCCGAGTCTGTGGTGGCCAAGACTGGTGAGTCATGGCTGCCAGGCCTCCCTCCCCTGCTAGCCCCATCCTGTGAGCGGGACTTGGCTGGGGCTCCTTCCAGCCTCCCTCCATCTTCGCCTTCTCAGCTCATTTTGCCAAAGCCTCCACCCACTTCCTCCCGCACTGCTCTCCTGTCCTCTGCATGCCAGGTCCCCCTCATCCAGCCTCCACCTCCTCATCTCTTCCTCAGCCTCACTTCTTCATCTCCAAGGGCAGGTCCTATTTTCCCCCATTCCAAACACCTGGACTCATCCTTCCACCTGGGGCTGTCCTCCCCACAGATGTCCTCACCATTCGGTCACTGTGTTCTCACCCCTCAGTTTTTACTGGGCTCCTTCATGGTCTGGTTTGGGCCATGGTCACTTCTGGGCTTCTGTCACCTGCTGCCCACAACCTCCTGCCATTTCTGCTGTGTTCAGAGGTGGCAGATCCAAGTGACAAGAGCACCACGTTTCTCTAGCCTTTTTGCAGCATGAAGAGGACTCCTCTCAGCTCCCGACTCCTTGACTCCCAGCCCCCTTGGAACAGGGCAAAGGGATTGTGTTCAGCCCAGCATCCCAGCCTGTTCCTCCATGTCCCCAGCCTTTCCCTGTCCAGTGCCATTCCCCTGGCCTGTGAATTATTTGATGAGAGATAGTGTGGATAGTGGTTAGGAGCAAAGACTCCGGAGCCAACTGCCCGAGTCTCACTACCAGCCTTGCAACTTACTTCCTGTAGGACCTTGTGCAAATTGCTTAACCTCTCTGTGCCTCAGCTTTCCCTTCTGTCAGGTGGCTGGATTTCAGTCCCTCTGCACAGAGCTGTTGGAATTACATGAGTTAATATATGTATAACACTTAGAAAGGCCAGGCACAGTGGCTCATGCCTGTAATCCCAGCATTTTGGGAGGCCAAGGCGGGTGGATCACGAGGTCAGGAGATCGAGACCATCCTGGCTAACACGGTGAAACCGTGTCTCCACTAAAAATACAAAAAATTAGCCAGGCATGGTGGCAGGTGCCTGTAGTCCCAGCTACTCAAGAGGATGAGGCAGGAGAATGGCGTGAACCCGGGAGGCGGAGCTTGCAGTGAGCCGAGATCGCGCCACTGCATTCCAGCCTGGGCGACAGAGTGAGACTCCATCTCAAAAAAAAAACAAAAACAAAAACAAAAAAAGCCCACACACTTAGAATAGTGCTTGGAGCAGCAAAGCATTTTCAGAGTGAGCTGCAATTTCTCCCTGACTCTCTCACTTCCCAGTAATCTTTTTTGCTCCCCACCTCCCTCCCTTCCTCTGGGTTGTCATTCTTGCCAATTCTTTCCTCAATCTGCTATCCCAAAGTAGTCCCCCATGTAGCAGGTCACAGAAGGGCTGGTTTCCCTTGTGCCACAGTCTCCCCACTCCATGGAGCCTCAGCAGAGACCTAACTGTAGGGGGCGGGTAGGTGCCCACAGGGCTGTGATTCCAGAGCCAGCCAGGGAAGGACATGTCTCTCCTTGGATCCCACTCACCCCAGAATTTTTCTCCCACTCATGCCTGGAGCCCTGCCTTAGCAATTCATTCCTTGGGGTTAAAGGGGAGGGAGGGGCAGGGCTGCCTGGGGAGGCCACAGCAAGAGCACATTCCATGGTCAGATCCTCATATGAGGGGTGGGGCAGCCAGAGTGCCCTGGGGAGGGCACAGGTAGGAAGAGGCCTCACTGCCCTCCTCACTGTCTGAGGTCAGCACTGTCAGTGAACGTGGTTTGGAAGAACCCTCAGAGGCTTCCTCTCTTCCCATCTCAGCTCCTTTCTCAGACACGAAGGGAGACCCCTCACCCCCACAGAACCCACCAGAGCAGGATGGGGCAAGGGCTGTCTCAGCCTTCTCCATCCGTGAGTGACCGAATGGCAAATACAAAGGCTACAGAGCCCCTGAGCCCACAGCGTAAGGGCATTTCCATGGCTGTCATCTGTGGGCAGCAGCAGCAAAGCCAGCAGCCCTTTATGCCTCTATCTCTTCTCTCAGCTCCTCAGGAGGATGTGGACGAGACCCCCAGCCCCACAGAACTGGGCACGGAGGCCCCGGAGTCCCCCGAGGAGCCGCTCCTGGGGGAGCTGACAGTGACAGGATCCTCCCCTGATTCGCTGAGCCTCTTCTGGACCGTCCCCCAGGGCAGCTTCGACTCTTTCACCGTGCAGTACAAGGACAGGGATGGGCGGCCCCAGGCGGTGCGTGTTGGGGGCAAGGAGAGTGAGGTCACCGTGGGAGGCCTAGAGCCCGGGCACAAGTACAAGATGCACCTGTACGGCCTCCACGAGGGGCAGCGCGTGGGCCCGGTGTCCGCCGTGGGCGTGACAGGTGAGTGAGGGGCAGGGGCCTGCTTTGGTTCCCTCCCACTGCTGGCTCCCAGCTTCCCTGTAGCCAGTTGCTCTCCTTGCTCCAGTGGAACCTTGAGGCTGCCTGCCAGGGGAAGACCTAGAAAGAGCATGTCACTGGGGACTGGCGTACCACCAGCTTTCATGGCCCTGAGCAAGTTTTAAACTTTCTGCACCTCTGTTTCCTTGTCCGTAAAATGGGGACACCTACCTCACAGAGTTATTGTGAGGGTTAAGTGAGTTAACAGATGTAAAGCATCAAGAATGGGCCTGGCAAAAGTAAATATGCTGCCAGTGTCTGCTGTGAGAATTGTTATAAATATTCTTACTCTGAGGTCTGCTTTGTCCCCTTTGGCTGGTTCAGTTACTTGGTCAGAATGCACATGAATCTAAGGCCATACCACCCTGAAGGTGTCCTATCATCTCCTCTGATCTCAGAAGCTAAGCAGGGTCAGGTCTGGTTAGTACTTGGATGGGAGAATGCGCGTGAGACATTGGCCTCTTCATCAGTACAGCTTGAAGCAAGCTTTCTTTTCTTTCTTGTCTTTTTTTTTTTTTTTTTTTTTTTGAGACAGAGTCTCACTCTGTTGCCCAGCCTGGAGTGCAGTGGTGCGATCTCAGCTCACTGCAACCTCTGCCTCCCAAGTTCAAGTGATTCTCCTGCCTCAGCCTCCCAAATAGCTGGGACTACAGATGCGTGCCACCACACCTGGTTACTTTTTTGTATTTTTAGTAGAGACGGGGTTCACCGTGTTGGCCAGGCTGGTCTCAAACTCCAGATCCTCAAGTGAGCCACCTGCCTCGGCCTCCCAAAGTTCTGGTATTACAGGCGTGAGCCACCACGCCTGACCACAAAGCTTTCTCTTTCTTCTTTCTCTCTTTTTCTTTCTTTCTTTCTTTCTTTCTTTCTTTCTTTCTTTCTTTCTTTCTCTTTCTTTCTGTCTCTCTCTCTCTCTTTCTTTCTTTTTTTCCTTTCTTTCTGTTTTTTGAGCTCTGTTGCCCAGGCTGGAATGCAGTGGTGCAATCTTGGCTCACTGCAACCTTTGCCTCCCAGGTTCAAGTGATTCTCCTGCCTCAGCCTCCCGAGTAGCTGGGATTACAGGCATGCACCACCACACCTGGCTAATTTTTGTATTTTTAATAGAGATGGGGTTTTACCATGTCAGCCAGGCTGGTCTCAAACTCTTGACCTCAAGTGATCCACCCGCCTTGGCCTTCCAAAGTGCTGGGATTATAGGCATAAGCCACCACGCCCGGCCACAAGGCTTTCTTTAATACTCATCCAGTGAGTGACTTTACAGCAAAGAAGAACATCCCTTCCACCCTTTCTCTCAGGCCTGGTTACAGGGCCACATCCACCACCACACAGGACCAGCCTGGGCACCTCCTCTCCAGGGCCTCAGCCCAAGAGGCTGAGTGGACAGCAGTGCCTCTGGGACCCTCGGGCTGACCTGCCCGGTTTAGTCACAGTGAGGGGAATCTCTTTTTTCCTTTGCTCACAGAAACAAAGACACACCTTTCTCAAAAATAACTTTTACTATAAGGGGAAAGATTAAAAAATTAAAAGTAGAGAAATAGATAGTTTTCCAGAACATGGTTTCTGTAATTCCACCAAGCTCAGCCTCATCATGACTTGGTTGATTTCATTTCCAGAACCTTCCACCCTCAATTTATTTTCTTTGCCTCAGTCAGCCCTGAGAAGAGGGAGACGGCAAAGCCACCCTGAGTGGCTGTCCTTGGGGCCTGAGGTTGTAGGGTGGAGGCTGGTGCCAGGCCCAGACATGCTGCCAAGTCTGCTCCTGGAGTGACCCTCCCTCTGCCGCTCTGTCCCAGGGACCCACACTGGGCTCTGTGAGGCCCTGTGCCTGGTCCCTGGGGTAAGGATGGGCTCTGTCAGGCACTGACCAAGTCGGTGCAGTAGAGATAAATGGAGTTTGGGAATCTGAGAAACTGAGTTCCTTCCTGTCTTCCTCTGTTCTCAGCTGTATGATTTTTATTTTTTTATTTTATTATTATTTTTTTGAGACAGAGTCTTGCTTTGTCACCCAGGCTGGAGTGCAGTGGCATGATCTCAGCTCACTGCAACCTCTGGCTCCCAGGTTCAAGCAGTCCTCCTGCCTCAGCCCCCCAAGTAGCTGGGATTACAGGCGCCCACCACCACACCCGGCTAATTTTTGTATTTTTAGTAGAGACAGGGTTTCACCATGTTAGCCAGGCTGGTCTCGAACTTCTGACCTCAGATGATCCACCCGCCTTGGCCTCCCAAAGTGCTGGGATTACAGGCGTGAGGCACCGTGCCCAGCCAGCTGTATGATCTTGAAAAACTTACCTCCTCTCCTGGAACCTCAGCTTCCTCATATTCAGGAGGGAGTAAACGCTGCCCAGCTTGTTGTCACGGTTAAAGGTGGTGATGTAACATGTCTGGCATCTTCTCAGCTCATTCATCTTTTGCTCAGACCTTCCCGTGAGGGAATCCCTGTATATCCATGTTCTAATGCTGGATATTTTGAAACATGTATTTTACACGTCCTGGATAAAATAGATGAGGCCCTTTAGGAAAGAAATGGGCATCAGTGCGCATTATCAGAGCAGCAAAAGGACGAAGCAGCTGGAGTCCGCCAAGCTGGGGGCTGTGTCTGGCAGCACACACAGTGCAGTTGCCAGGGGGAGAGGTGCGTGGAGCTCATTAGACACACTTCTAAATTGGAAAAGGACTGTCCCACATGCAGCATGGGGACTGCCAGAGTCATGAATCGTTATAATTGTACCTTTCCAGTTAATCCAAACCACCAGCAATAAAGCTTGATGGTGAAGGACATTTTCATTCCCTCATGGAAAGAAGTGCAGAGAGGGCAAAAAGGAGCAGGGAATGGGTGCTGCAGGAACAAGTAAGGTTAGAAGGCAAATGAAATGAGAGAAAATGCCCAGCCTGGTACCTGTACATAGTAGATGTTCAATACTTGGTGGTCACTCTGCTCCCTCCCACCACCTCAGCTGCCTCCATGCCTGCCCTCCCCAGCCTGACTCATTTCTGTCTGCCCGAGGCCTGGTCACCAGCCTGTTTTAAGCAGTTGTCACTTGCTTGGAGCCTTGTCTTGCCCTCCGGAGGAAGCCAGAGAAACAAGTTCTTGGGAGCCCCACCCATCCAGCCACCTTCTCTGCCATTTTGCCTCTTGGGACCACCTTCTAGTTTGCTCACTAATGAGTGCTTCCTCATGCGGGAGTGGTGGGGATCTGCAGGTCCTGAGCCCAGACCTGTAGACCACTCATTATTTTACAGACATCTGTGGAGCACCTACTGTGTGCCAGGGACTGGGACACAGCAGTGAATAAAGCAGAGCTCCTGCCTGAGGAGCTCACATTCTAGTGGAGAGGGACAGGCAACAAATTGCACAAATATGTCAGTGGCACCGGATGTGACAGTGATGAGTGGTGGGGAAAAGCAGAGCCTAGTAGGGAGACAGCAAGGGCCTCACTGCGAGGGCAGTGTCTGAGGAAAGCCCTGAAGGAGGTGAGAGGACAGCCACCTAGGCCTTTGGGGAAAGAGCATCCCAGACAGAAGGAAGAGCAAATGCAGAGACTGGCAGGCGAGAAGCAGCCCCAGATGTCTGCAGACAGTGAGGAATGCAGTATGTTTTGTGGTGGAGTTGGAGGAGGGCAGGCAATAGGGAATGATCTAAGAGATGAATATGGGACCTCAGAGGCCAGTGCAGGACTTGGATTTCACCCTGAGTGAGGTAGAAGCCACTGCGGGAACCAGCTCTGGCTAATGTGTTAACAGGATCCTTCTGGCTGCAGACCCAACAGACTAAAGGGGGGTGAGGGCAGAAGGCGATGACCTGAGAGAATGTTGTGATAATCCAGGAGGAGCCAGTGGTGCTTGGAGGTGGCAAGGAGGGGTCAGACTCTGAAGGTAGTGACAACAGGCGGATACCCACAGGGCGGATGTGGAGTTTAAGAGAGGACTCGGGGATGACTCTGGCGGTTTAGATCTGAGCAGCTGGAAGAATGAAGTTGTAATCCTGGTCAGGCGTGGAGGATCATGCCTGTAATCCCAGCACTTGGGGAGGCCGAGGCGGGCGGATCACCTGAGGTCGGGAGTTCAAGACCAACCTGACTAACGTGGAGAAACCCCATCTCTACTGAAAATACAAAATTAGCCGGACGTGGTGGCACATGCCTGTAATCCCAGCTACTCAGGAGGCTAAGGCAGGAGAATCGCTTGAACCCAGGAGGCGTAGGTTGCGGTGAGCCGAGAGGGCGCCATCGCACACCAGCCTGAGCAACAACAGCGAAACTCCGTCTCAAAAAAAAAAAGTTGTAATCTTACTGAGGTGGGGAGGCTGTGGCGGGAGCAGGTGTCAGGAAGCTCAGAGGCTCAGTTTTGGACTTGTTGAGTTTGACACACAAGTAGGCCTCCAAGGAAGACGTTGCACGAACACTAGTCTGGGGTTCAGGAGAGGTCTGGACAGAGGGTGTAAATCTGGAGTCATTGGCATATAGATGGAATTTCAGCGCTCTCCCAGGGTGTCAGTGATGGTTGATACTCTTCTCCCCCAACAAATGCAGCCTCAGACACCGAGCAGGGACCTAGTGAAGGACTGTTGACCAGACAGATGTTCAGATCAATGCGCTTTTACATCAAAACCATCATGCGGGTTCCACAAATGCAACAGACATCGCTGGGTGTGGTGGCTCACACCTGTAATCCCAGCACTTTGGGGGCTGAGGCAGGTGGATCACCTGAGGTCAGGGGTTTGAGACCAGCCTGGCCAACATGGCAAATGCCGTCTCCACTAAAAATACACACACACACAAAATTAGGCAGGCATGGTGGCGCACGCCTGTAGTCCCAGCTACTTGGGAGGCTAAGGCAGGAGGATCGCTTGAACCCGGGAGGCAGAGGCTGCAGTGAGCCGAGGTCGCCCACTGCTCTGGGTGACAGCGAGACTCCATCTCAAAAATAAAAAATAAAAAATAAATAACTAGACATCATTACTATAAGAAAAGGGGGATTCTTTACTAACAGCCCCCTACCATCTCTGTCCCAGCCCCACAACAAGAAGAGACCCCTCCAGCCACTGAGTCCCCGCTGGAGCCACGCCTAGGAGAGCTGACAGTGACAGATGTGACCCCCAACTCTGTGGGCCTCTCCTGGACAGTCCCCGAGGGCCAGTTTGACTCCTTCATAGTCCAGTACAAGGACAAGGACGGGCAGCCCCAGGTGGTGCCGGTGGCGGCAGACCAGCGAGAGGTCACAGTCTACAACCTGGAGCCTGAGAGAAAATATAAGATGAACATGTATGGACTACATGATGGGCAACGCATGGGCCCCCTGTCTGTGGTCATCGTGACGGGTGAGTAATGGGGGGACTCAGTCCTCATCTCTGGTTACCCAGAGCTCCCCCACCCCATGGCCCTTCTTCCAGCCCTGCCTTGGTACCACCGCACCCTCACTGAGGGGCTAGATCCCCTCAGGCCCTGGCTCGGTGACCCTGCCAGTCTTTCTGTTCCCTGACCCCTTTACTCCTCCCAGGGCTAGAGCCTTCTCAGCCCTCCAGCTCCTTCCCCATCTCCACTCTGCCCCCCGCCCAGGGGAATGTCTTATTTCCATTTGGCCTAAATCCAGCCACAGACTTTCTCTCCCCCTCTCCGACTGCCCACAGCTGTTTCCACCCCTTCTCTTTACAACCCTGCTGTGACTTGGACACAGCTGCCACCTCCTGCTTCTGCCCTTTTTTGTTGAGGCGAAGTGCTTTACATCCTGAGTCCCTTCTCAGGAGTCCTCTGCCACCTGCCTGCACTGCATTCCATCCCAGCCCTGGAGAGTTTTCATCTCTCCAGGAGGCTGCCTCACTCTTGCTCTGGGCTCCTTCCTGCCCCTCATGGCTTCCTGGGCACAGGTTCTCCATGATTGTTGTGCTGTGGCATCTGGTGAAACCCCTACCCCACCTGAAGGCAATGTTTTTAAATCTGTAAAATAAGCTGTATAGGATTACAAAGGAAACATTATATTTATAGACAGTTATCAAAATATTTCTTTTTTATTTTTGAGATGGAGTTTTGCTCTTGTCATCCAGGCTGGAGTGCAATGGCGCGATCTCGGCTCACTGCAACCTCCGCTTCCCAAGTTCAAGCAATTCTCCTGCCTCAGCCTCCCGAGTAACTGGGATTACGGGCACGTGCCACCACACCCAGCTAATTTTTTGTATTTTTAGTAGAAACAGGGTTTCGCCATGTTGGCCAGGCTGGCCTCAAACTCCTGACCTCAGGTGATCCACCCGCCTCGGCCTGGCATGAGCCACTGCACCCGGCCCAAAATATTTCTTAAAAATCCAAAGTTACGATTTAGTAATACTTGGACTTATTTACTAGTTCATTAAATAACAGGACTTGGTGGCGCGTTTACTAAACTACAAAATTTAGAAGCAGTGATGGATATAAAAGGTATTTTAAAGTTTCTGCAATAACTCTAAGGTGACATGAAAACATCTGTGGTTTCTATTGGTAACAAAGTCACAATAATTCTACTCTGGTGGGTTTTCTATATTAGTTTTGGAAAGAAATGCTGCATTTCAGTTAGAGGTCTGGAAGTAAAGGTGTAACTATTCCCCATCTCAGTTCACAGCCCCCCTGAGGCCCTCAAAGCCCAGGGGTTCTCCCCTCAGAGATCTCAACCATGTTCTTTGTCTTCCCAAATCCCAGCTCCCCTCCCACCAGCCCCAGCCACAGAGGCCTCCAAGCCTCCCCTGGAGCCACGCCTAGGGGAGCTGACAGTGACGGATATAACCCCTGACTCTGTGGGCCTCTCATGGACAGTCCCTGAGGGTGAATTCGACTCCTTTGTGGTTCAGTACAAGGACAGGGACGGGCAGCCCCAGGTGGTGCCCGTGGCTGCAGATCAGCGGGAGGTCACTATCCCTGACCTGGAACCCTCCCGCAAGTACAAGTTCCTGCTCTTTGGGATCCAGGATGGGAAACGACGCAGCCCAGTCTCTGTGGAGGCAAAGACGGGTGAGATGGGCCCCTACACAGCTGAGCCTGAGGCCACAGCCTTCCCACCCTTCTCTTCACTCCCTCTGCTGAGTCTTCCCTTTGTCCACCTGCTCTGTCTCATTTGAAAAGCCACATGGGGCTAGCACAGTGACTCATGCCTGTAATCCCAGCACTTTGGGAGTCCAAGGCAGGTCAGGAGTTTGAGACCAGTCTGGCCAACATGGCAAAACCCTGTCTCTACTAAAAAGACAAAAATTAGCTGGGTGTGGTGATGGGTGCTAGTAATTCCAGCTACTCGGGAGTCTGAGGCACAAGAATCACTTGAACCCAGGAGGTGGAGGCTGCAGGGAGCTGAGATTGCGCCACTGCACTCCAGCCTGGGTGATAGAGCCAGACTCCGTCTCAAAAAAGACCAAAAAAAAAAAAAAAGAAAGAAAAGCCGCAAAGCAGATGAGGACCAGGAGAGTGGGGCCAGTTCCTGGGTCTGCTGTCCCCTGCTGACTCTGCCTCTCTTCTCGTAATTTCCACTTTTGTTGGATGAGGGAAGCCCCTACAGGCCTCTTCCTGCAGGGTGGATGTGGGAGCCTGGGGGTGCTGGGAGAAGGGGCGAGGGGAGCCAGGAACCCTTCCTGCCTTGCGAATCCATCACCTCCTGAGAGTCTTTGTTGTCTCCCCTGTGACTCTCACCCAGGTTCTCACCCTCCTAGCTCAGGCCTGTCTGGGCCCATATGTGCCTCCTACAGAGGCTGCCCTTCCTTCTCTGCCCTCCTCCTGAAGTCTCAGAAATTGGGAACCAGAGGAGCCCAGCCCAGCTGTGCCCCTTTCCGAGGGTTCAGTCCAAGCCCTCCCCTGCCCCTGGGGGCTCCCTATTGCCAGAAAACTTGCAATAACAATGTCGTCAGCGTCCTCACCGTCCAGGAAGGCAGCAGGCCAGCTCCTTCTCAAGCCCTGGGATGGCTCCTCAGGCAGACACCAGATCCCTTCCCTGCCTGAGCTCCCCGGCATCATCCCCCTCAACATTCTCACAGGCAGCCCACGCTCCTTCACCAGGCCCAGTGGGAGCCTTAGTTCTCCCGGGCCAGCCGGTGCAGAATAAGAAAGGGAACGGAGAAGGGTGAGAACTACCTGTGTCGTAACATCCTGCCTCCCTGACCTGCCGAGTGCCCCCATCAGGGATCCTGCGCTCCTCGGGGCCGGCCAAATCACCCCTTTCCTCAGGGGCCGGCCAAATCACGGCCAAATCGTGTGCTCCTGGGTAAGAGGAGATAGAGACCCAGTCTGTAAGAAGCTGCACCCTGCTGGGGAAGCAGTCTGTGAGAGGCGGAAAGAGGCTGGACAGAAAGGGGAGTAAGATGAGGCAGGGAGCTAGGGAATCTCTTTTCCTGGAGGTGACTCAGGACAGGTGACCCTCCCCACTTGGGTCAAGGGGAGAGAGGCATGGACCAGACGGAGATGGTGGTGAGGATGGGAGGTGATGGAAATATTTTGGGGAAGCACTGAGCATTTGGCAGTTCTGGGTTTTTCCAGCCCCAGAGGGAGGCAGTCAAGGAGTCGTTTTGGAAAAAATAAACACAAGAACCTTTCCTCTCCAGTTGCCCGAGGTGACGCCAGCCCAGGGGCCCCACCCCGCCTTGGGGAGCTGTGGGTGACAGACCCCACCCCAGACTCACTGCGCCTCTCCTGGACGGTTCCTGAGGGCCAGTTCGACTCTTTTGTGGTCCAGTTCAAGGACAAAGACGGGCCCCAGGTGGTGCCCGTGGAGGGCCATGAGCGCTCTGTCACTGTCACCCCTCTGGATGCCGGCCGCAAGTACAGATTCCTCCTCTATGGCCTCCTGGGCAAGAAGCGCCATGGCCCTCTCACTGCCGACGGCACCACGGGTGAGGGGCATTCCCTGCAGGTCCCTGCTCTGCTCCCCTCAGGCCAAGCAGCAGACGGTCACTTGTGGTGGCTGCCATTACCATTATTTGGCCCCAGCCACTCGGCTCAGATCCAGCTCCCCACGTCCCTGCACAAGCCCCTAGCACAGCCCGGCAGGACTCAGCCACGCAAAGCCCTGTCTCCAGACCTCTCAATCCTGCCCGTCGAGGTCACCCAGTCTTCCAGAAACAGCTCAGCCGTTTCCTCTCCGTGTCTCCATCTCAGAAGCCCGGAGTGCTATGGATGATACTGGAACAAAGCGTCCCCCAAAACCCCGTCTGGGGGAGGAGCTGCAGGTGACCACCGTGACCCAGAACTCCGTGGGCCTCTCCTGGACAGTCCCTGAGGGCCAGTTTGACTCCTTTGTGGTCCAGTACAAAGACAGGGACGGGCAGCCCCAGGTGGTGCCCGTGGAGGGCAGCCTCAGGGAGGTCAGCGTGCCGGGCCTGGACCCTGCCCACAGGTACAAGCTGCTGCTCTACGGGCTGCACCACGGCAAGCGTGTGGGCCCCATCTCGGCCGTCGCCATTACTGGTGAGTGTGCGGCAGCTGGAACACCTGTGCCTCCTTCCCGCCTGGCTCTCCTGGTCTGACTGAGCCATAAGATCTCTGAGCTTCCCATTTTATATCATTTCCATTGATCCAGAAAGTTTCCTTGTGCCCCTTTAGAGTCAGTTGCCCCAGTCCCAGCCTCCAGCAACCACTGTCTGCTTTCGATCATCCTGGAGACAGCATTTTGACTCTCCATGTAATGGAATCACAATACGCAGTCTCTTGTGTTTCATTTCTTGCAATTAGCACAATGCTTTTGAAATTCACCCATGTGCAGCAAAAGCTGGTCTTTCGATTGCTGACTGCTTGCCCTCACTCCCTCTCCTCCCTCACTCCTCCTGAGAGTCTGGGTGCAGCGACACACCAGCCATCTGTCTCTACCTGTCTCTGTGAACCAGCCGGCAGGGAAGAAACGGAAACTGAGACCACGGCCCCGACCCCTCCAGCGCCTGAGCCCCACCTCGGGGAGTTGACAGTGGAGGAGGCCACGTCACACACCCTGCATCTCTCCTGGATGGTGACTGAGGGAGAATTTGACTCCTTCGAAATCCAGTACACAGATAGAGACGGGCAACTCCAAATGGTCCGCATAGGAGGTGACCGGAATGACATCACCCTCTCTGGCCTGGAATCCGACCACAGATACCTGGTGACCCTGTATGGTTTCAGTGATGGGAAGCATGTAGGTCCTGTCCATGTCGAGGCCCTGACAGGTGAGAACTCTGCCCACTATGCCTCCTTTCAGATGGCTGGGAGAGTCCAGAGGACAGCAGAGTCCCGCGGATACCCTGCCCACCTCAGTCCTCTCTTTCCATGTCTCTGTCCAGTCCCGGAGGAGGAGAAGCCTTCAGAACCTCCCACCGCAACCCCCGAGCCCCCCATCAAGCCTCGCCTGGGGGAGCTGACCGTGACAGATGCCACCCCTGACTCCCTCAGCCTGTCCTGGACAGTTCCCGAGGGACAGTTTGACCACTTCCTGGTCCAGTACAGGAATGGAGATGGGCAGCCCAAGGCAGTGAGGGTGCCAGGGCACGAGGAAGGGGTCACCATCTCGGGCCTGGAGCCAGACCATAAATACAAGATGAACCTGTACGGCTTCCACGGTGGCCAGCGCATGGGCCCTGTGTCTGTCGTCGGGGTGACAGGTGAGTGGATGATGGGAGCCCCAGGGTGGGAGCCATGGGAGGGTCACCCTCTTGCTCTTTGGTGATGACTGGTGGGGAATGGGACAAGGGTCTGGTCAGCACCACAGACCTGCTTGTGGCTGGGGCTGGGGCTCCCCTTGGGCCTTCCTGTGAGGTTGACCACTGGCTCCTCCTGAACAGAGAGGGGCCATCGGGAATTTTGCTGTGCTGGTGGCTGTCCCAGGTCCCCCACAGCTGACCCTGGAACTTGTCATGTGTGTTAGCTGTCAGCTGAGCAGGACCACCCAGCCCCAAGAGTAGGCCTCTCTGAACTGACCTCGGGTCCCCCAGTCATAGCCTTGGCTTCTCCCTCCTTTTCCCCAGTACCCAAGGACATCCCCCTCACTCTCTCTTCCTCCTTCTCAGCTGCAGAGGAAGAGACCCCCAGCCCCACAGAACCCAGCATGGAGGCCCCGGAGCCCGCTGAGGAGCCGCTCCTGGGGGAGCTAACAGTGACAGGATCCTCCCCTGACTCGCTGAGCCTCTCCTGGACCGTCCCCCAGGGCCGCTTCGACTCCTTCACCGTGCAGTACAAGGACAGGGACGGGCGGCCCCAGGTGGTGCGTGTTGGGGGCGAGGAGAGTGAAGTCACCGTGGGGGGCCTGGAGCCTGGGCGCAAGTACAAGATGCACCTGTACGGCCTCCACGAGGGGCGGCGCGTGGGCCCAGTGTCTGCTGTGGGCGTCACGGGTGAGTGTGCACTGCAGAGCCCTCTGGGTTGGGTCTTAGCAAAGTACAGCCTCCAGCATCTCCTCCACTAGGGACCCAGAACCCCAAGACCTCAAACCTGTAATACACCCTGTTCACTAAAGGCTCAGGACAGGTGTGATCTGGGGACAGAGAGAGCAAATCCAGGAGAAGTGTCGGAGCCATATGGGAAAGGCCCCCAGGGACTGAGGCCTCTTGGGAGGTGATTCACTGGCTGGTTTGTGGCTCTCCGCTTTTCCTTGGAACTCTATACATAACTCTTTTTGTGAGATTGGAACACATTTTTGAAATACAAATTAATTAAATTAATAAGTATTTGTTAAATAAAATTTCAAATGTATAAACAGAAAGAATAGTACAAAGACCCTGCCATCCTCCTTCAATCAAATATCGACTTCTGGCCAGTCTGGCTCATCTCTGCCCCACCCACTTCCTCCACTAGAATCACTAGAATGTTTTCTTTCTTTCTTTCTTTCTTTCTTTCTTTCTTTCTTCCTTCCTTTCTTTCTTTCTCTTTCTTTCTTTCTTTCATTCTTTTCTTTCTTTCTTTTTAGACAAGGTCTCACTCTGTCGCCTGGGCTAGAGTGTACTGGCACAGTCACAATTCACTGCACTGCAGCCTCAACCTCCTGGGCTTAAGGGATCCTCCCACTTCAGCCTCCCGAATAGCTGGGACTACAAGTGCACTCCACCATGCCCAGCTAATTTTTTGTATTTTTTGTAGAGACAGGGTTTAGCCATGTTGCCCAGGCCAGTCTCGAACTCCTGGGCTCAAGTTATCCTCCCACCTCAGCCAAAGTGATAGGATTCCAGGCGTGAGCCGCCACACCCGGCCTGAATGTTTTCTTTATTAACACCTTTATGGAGATATAATTCATGTGGCATAAAATACACTTGTTTTTAGTGTACAACTTACTGATTTTAGTATCTTTACCTACTTGTGCAGCCATCACCACGATCTAATTTTAGAACTTTTCCATCACCCCCAAAAGAAATCTTGGGTCCAGACCCATTCCTACCTCAGCCCTAGTTTATAACTAATCTACTTTTTTCTCTGTAGATTGCTGTTCCAGAACATTTCGTATAAATGGACTCAAACAATATGTATTCTTTTGTGTCTAGCTTCTTTCACTGAGCATAATGTTTTTGAGGTTCATCAATGTAGCATGTAGAAGTACTATACTTACTACATTGCTATTGATTGATTGATTGATTGATTGATTGATTTTTTTTGAGACAAATTCCCACTCTATTGCCCAGGCTATAGTGCAGTGGCATGATCATAGCTCACTGCAGCCCCAGACTCCTGGGCTCAAGCCATCCTCCCATCTCAGCCCCCCAGGTAGCTGGGGCCACAGGTGCTCGCCACCACACTCAGCTAATTTAAAAAAATTTTTTGTAGAGATGGGGTCTCACAGTGTTACCCAGGCTGATATCAAACTCCTGGCTTCAAGGAATCCTCCTGCCTGGGCCTTACAAAGTGCTGGGATAGCAGGCATGAGCCACCTGCTCTCTCTCAGCCACTACACTGCTTTTTATTGCCAAACAGTATTGCATTGTGTGGTTATACTACTGCAGTATTTTAAAAACGAACCACAGACATCCTATGCTTTCATCACTAAATATTTAAAGGTATATCTCTTTTTAAAAAAATTATTTTTAAAAAATCCACAATATGGCCAGGTGAGGTGGTTCACGCTTGTAATCCCAGCACTTTGGGAGGCCAAGGCAGGTGGATCACTTGAGGTAAAGAGTTCAAGACCAGCCTGACCAACATGGTGAAACCCCGTCTCTACTAAAAATAATAATAATAATAATAAATTTTAAAAAGTACAAAAAAGCGGAGCGTGGTGGCACGTGCCTGTAGTCCCAGCTACTTGGCGGGGGTTGAGGCACAAGAAATTGCTTGCACCCAGGAGGTGGAGGTTGCAGTGAGCCAAGATCGCGCCACTGCACTCCAGCCTGGGTGACAGAGTGAGACTCTGTGTCAAAAAATAAATAAATAAATAATAAAATTCCACAATACAATTAGCATACCTTGATAAGTGAACAATCATGCCTTGATATCAAGTATCCAGGTAGTGCTACAGTCTCCCGAGTGTCTCATAATTGTTGTTTCCCAATTTGTTGCTGAAATCAGGTCTATAGAAGGAGGATACATTGCAATTGAGAAAACTGAAATTTTAAATAGAGTAATCAGGGAAGGCCCACAGAAGAAGGTGGCTTTTGAACAAAGACTTAAAGGAAGTGTGGGGATGAGCCATGAAGATATCTGGGGAAAGAACATTTAGGTAGAGGGAACAGTCATTGTAAAAGTACTGAGGTAGGAGGCTGCCTGGCATGGTTGAGGGACCATAAGGAAGCCACAAAATCTGATTATGATTATAATCAGAAATCGATCTTAAGTTAGGGCCAGACTGGGCCCACCTTCTGACCTGAATTCAAGACAGCTGGGGCCTCAACACCTCCTTGCAGCAAGAGAAAAGATTCTGTTTCTATCTCTTCCTAGCCCCCGAAGAGGAGTCCCCTGATGCTCCTCTTGCAAAGCTGCGCCTAGGGCAGATGACAGTGAGAGACATCACCTCCGACTCCCTCAGCCTCTCCTGGACAGTCCCCGAGGGCCAGTTTGACCATTTCTTGGTCCAGTTTAAGAATGGGGACGGGCAGCCCAAGGCGGTGCGGGTGCCGGGACACGAGGATGGGGTCACCATCTCGGGCCTGGAGCCAGACCACAAGTACAAGATGAACCTGTACGGCTTCCACGGTGGCCAGCGCGTGGGCCCCGTGTCTGCTGTTGGTTTAACTGGTGAGTGTGCAGTAGGGCACTGGGCCCTGCCCTGAACTAGACTCAGTTTCCCTTTTATTGTCAGTATCTGGTGGCTTTATTTTACTTTCCCTGAGACCAAGCCTCCCAAGCTCCTGGGAATGGTTCTGCTGGTGCCTTCACTCCGAGACTTTGGTATTGCCCCAGGTCTTCTGCCCGTTACACATGGGCTTTTTGGGTTCCCAAAGAGGTGGGGGACCAGGAAAATAACACAGACTGAGGCACACCTGGGGTTGACCATAGCTTCAGCCCATTTGAGCTGTGTGTCCTCAAGAGACTCACACAACCTGTCTGGGCACGGTGGCTCATGCCTGTAATCCCAGCACTTTGGGAGGCCGAAGGGGGCAGATCACTTGAGGTCAGGAGTTCGAGACCAGCCTGGCCAACATCATGAAACCCCCATCTCTACTAAAAATACAAAAATTAGCTGGGTGTGGTGGCACATGCCTGTAGTCCCAGCTACTCGGGAGGCTAAGGCGGGAGAATCGCTTGAACCCAGGAGGCGGAGGTTGCAGTGAGCCGAGATCGAGCCACTGCACTCCAGCCTGTGTGACAGAGTGAGACCCTGTCTCAAAAAAACAAAACAAGCAAACAAAAAACAGACACACGACCTCTCTGTACATCCTTTTCCTCATCTGTAAAGAAGGAATAACCATACCTGTCGTGAAGGGTGGGCGGGAGTGTGGCTTGGCTCTCACACACAATGAGAGATAACTGCAGTCTTTCCCTTCTGAGGAAGGTAGGTAGTTCCTGAAAACCGCTTAGGGCAAATTCTCATAATTATCACTGATTTCAGTGGGAAAAATTGTATGTGTTCTCTAAGCTCCCAAATTAATACCCATTTATTTTTAAAACAACACTGAATCCTGTTAACATGGATACTATTACTTTAATTGTAAATATTGGCCATGTGCACAACTTAATAAGGCATTTTCCTTTCATTACCCTGTAACTCGGCTCTTTGATGCTTTTGTAAGCTCTTTTATAGCTGTTACCCCCTAGATGCTTAAGACTCAGTTCTCAAAAAGAACAGACAAATGAAATGTGATGAATTTGTAATACCACTATCAAGGCAGAATAAAACCCTATGAAGAGCAGAAAAGATTAAAGAAATCAATGAAAACAAAGCAATTGATTTCACACGGGCCAAAAGAACTGGCATCACTGGAGGTGCTCTCTCTGCCGTAAGTTAGCAGAGCTACTGCAGGTCCAGAGACAACTCAGCTGCAAAGATGCCCTCATGTGGTCTCATCTCTCTACCCTCAGCTATAAAATCTAAGTTGGTTTCTAAAAATGCTCAGGATTAGGTGGAATTTCCAAGCCCAGGTGGATGAACCTCCTGATACAACTTGCCTGTTGTGTTTGGTTGGTGTTCTTTGTTTTCTTTTTTTTTTTTTTCTTTATGTTGAGATGGAGTCTCACTCTGTCACCCAGGCTCTCAGGCTGGAGTGCCGTGGTGCGATCTCAGCTCATTGCAACCTCTGCCTCCCAGGTCCAAGCAGTTCTCCTGCCTCAGCCTTCCGAGTAGCTGGGATTACAGGCATGCACCAGCACATCTGGCTAATTTTTGTATTTTTAGTACAGACAGGATTTCGCCATGTTGGCCAGGCTGGTCTCAAGCTCCTGACCTCAGGTGATCCTCCCGCCTCGGCCTCCCAAAGTGCTGGGATTACAGGCCTGAGCCACCACGCCTGGCCCTGATTGCTGTTTTTTGTTTGTTTGTTTGTTTTTGTTTGTTTGTTTTTTTCTTGAGAAGGAGTCTCGCTGTCTCCCAGGATGGAGTGCAGTGGCGTGATCTTGGCTCACCGCAAGCTCCGCCTCCTGGGTTCATGCCATTCTCCTGCCTCAGCCTCCTGAGTAGCTGGGACTACAGGTGCCCACCAACACGCCTGGCTAATTTTTTGTATTTTTAGTAAAGACGGGGTTTCACAGTGTTAGCCAGGATGGTCTCAATCTCCTGACCTCATGATCCGCCCGCCTCGGCCTCCCAAAGTGCTGAGATTACAGGCCTGAGCCACCACACCCGGCCCTGGTTGGTGTTCTTATAAAGCATCAATTCTGTCCTGCAAAACAAATTTGCTTGGCAGCTCCTAAGGGTCCCAGGCCTGCACACTGAGCATCACAGGGATGCCACCTGAGCATCATGACTTCACCACAGGTGTGGTGTTAACTGAACATTCAAAGCAGAAAAATGATATTCTAAGCTTGGGGCACCAGCATCCAGACTGTGGGCCCTTGGTGTGTCTAAGAGAATCCCAGAGTCCCTTGGTTAAAAGGAGGCCCACCAGGCATGCCCACCCATTCTATTTTCTGATGCAGCCCCAGGAAAGGATGAAGAAATGGCCCCAGCCTCGACAGAACCTCCCACCCCTGAACCCCCCATCAAGCCTCGCCTGGAGGAGCTGACCGTGACAGATGCGACCCCTGACTCCCTCAGCCTGTCCTGGACGGTTCCCGAGGGACAGTTTGACCACTTCCTGGTCCAGTACAAGAATGGGGATGGGCAGCCCAAGGCAACACGGGTGCCAGGACATGAGGACAGGGTCACCATCTCCGGCCTGGAGCCAGACAACAAGTACAAGATGAACCTGTACGGCTTCCACGGTGGCCAGCGTGTGGGCCCCGTGTCTGCCATCGGGGTGACAGGTGAGTGGACGATGGGAGCCCCAGGGTGGGAGCCATGGGAGGGTCACCCTCTTGCTCTTTGGTGATGACTGGTGGGGAATGGGACGGGTCTGGTCAGCACCACAGACCTACTTGTGGCTGGGGCTGGGGCTCCCATTGTACCTTTTTGTGTGGTTGACCCCTGGCTCCCCCTGAGCAGGGAGGGGCCATTGGGAGTTTTGCTGTGCTGGTGGCTGTGCCAGGTCCCCCACAGCTGACCCTGGAATTTGTCATGTGTGTTAGCTGTCAGCTGAGCAGGACCCCAAGAATGGGCCTCTCTGAACTGACCTCAGGTCCCCTAGTCATAGCCTTGGCTATTTCATATGTCCCCTAGTCATAGCCTTCTCCCTCCTTTTCCCCACGACGTAAGCACATCCCCCAGGGACCCTGCCATCCTCTCTGTGTCCCTTTTTCTCAGCTGCAGAGGAAGAGACCCCCAGCCCCACAGAACCCAGCATGGAGGCCCCGGAGCCCCCTGAGGAGCCGCTCCTGGGGGAGCTAACAGTGACAGGATCCTCCCCTGACTCGCTGAGCCTCTCCTGGACCGTCCCCCAGGGCCGCTTCGACTCCTTCACCGTGCAGTACAAGGACAGGGACGGGCGGCCCCAGGTGGTGCGTGTTGGGGGCGAGGAGAGCGAGGTCACCGTGGGGGGCCTGGAGCCTGGGCGCAAATACAAGATGCACCTGTATGGCCTCCACGAGGGGCGGCGCGTGGGCCCGGTGTCCACCGTGGGCGTGACTGGTGAGTAGTGCTTGGAGTCTCGGGGTAACCACCTTTCCCTCATGGGTACCTGGTTTACTGCTGTGCCCTTTCACCAAGCCCTGTGGGTCCAGACTTGTCTCCTGTGTCCTGCCCTCCCTCTGTGCCCTGTGGCTGTGGCCTATGCTAGCGGTTTGCTTGTTCACTTTGGCGTGGCCTCCCTCTAATGGTCAACCACTGATAACCTCCAAGAGTGAAATATGTCAGGCGCACACCAAGCCTGACTTACGAGAATTTTCCTTTCTTTCCATCTTAATAACAGCATTCTTTGTTATAACCACATACACAAATGCACACAAGAGGAACAATCCAACGTCAAACCACGTTGGGATGACTAAATAATTTAGGCAACATCTATAAAAAGAGCTATTATGCCGCCACTGAAATGTTTTAACATAAGACCCTTACTTTATAATGTTACATTGAAAAAAGAGAGCCTAGGCTGGGCACAGTGGCTTACGCCTGTAATCCCAGCACTTTGGGAGGCCGAGGCGGGCTGATCGCCTGAGGTCAGGAGTTCCAGACCAGTCTAGCCAACATGGTGAAACCCCATCTCTACTAAAAATACAAAAATTAGCCAAGCATGGTGGCACATGCCTGTAATCCCAGTTACTTGGGAGGTGGAGGCACGAGAATTGCTTGAACCCGGGAGGCAGAGGTTGCAGTGAGCCGAGATCACCACTGCACTCCAGCCTGGCAGATACAGCCAAACTCAGTCTCAAAAAAGAAGAAAAAGGAGCCCAAATTTTTGTAAGGATGCTAATCACAACCATTTGAAAGTAACAGGCATGGCAAGAAGACTGGAAAGAAACACATCCCACGGGTTGCCTGATTTGTTAGATAGAATAGAATATTCCAGCACATTTTTTTCTGTATTATTCTATTCTGCATAGTCCAAATTTTCTTAAATGGCAAACATTTCTTTTACAATCAGGGAAAGGGAAAAGAGAAAATATATAATGTCTTCTCCTTCTTTACACTCCATCTGTCCTACTCCTCTATCGCTCTTGTGGCTTATTTCATTTATTTCCTTCTTTTTTTTTTTGAGATGAAGTTTCGCTCTTGTCGCCCAGGCTGGAGTGCAATGGCATGATCTCGGCTCACTACAACCTCTGCCTCCTGGATTCAAGCGATTCTCCTGCCTCAGCCTCCCGAGTAGCTGGGATTACAGGCATGCGCCACCACATCTGGCTAATTTTGTATTTTTAGTAGAGAGGGAGTTTCTCCATGTTGGTCAGGCTGCTCAAACTCCTGACCTCAGGTGATCTGCCCGCCTCGGCCTCCCAAAGTGCTGGGATTACAGGCATGAGCCACCGCGCCCAGCCAGACTTATTTCATTTCTAATTATGAGGAAGTTCAAAATTTCTAGTCCATAAGAAATTGGAGGGGTGGAGATCATGAGGTTAATTGAATTCCAAATGCTCAGTCAGGCTGCCTTTTCTAAGTCATCCTCAGCCAGGTTGTTATGCCTGGCTTAGAGTATTTTTCGAGAATTCCTACCGATGGGGAAGAATCAGCCCTGCTGAGAGGCGGTCTCTTGCAGGGCAGGTCGCCACCTCTGTGGCACCAAGTGAGGTGCGAGCTCATCTCCCAAAGGCCATCCAGACAGAGGAAGCACTCTCAATCGGCATCCCCGATTCCTGGGGGAGAGGCCTCATTTCCATATGCATGTTCAGAGGACCATCTGAGTGTTGGGAAACAGGGGGAATAGGGAAATTATTGGAAAATGAACATTAGAAAAATTCACATTCCGGGGGTAAGCTGTCCTGGTCCACGTTCAGTTTTGTGTTCCTGTCTCCACTGTGGGGAACCACAGAACTGACAGAGGACAGGCTGAGGGACCCACCCCTGCCCCTCCTGTTCTATGTGTATTGCTGCCCCACCCCCACCCCACACTCTATTATTAATTGTTGTAGCCCAGAATTTCTTTCTTTCTTTTTCTTTTTTTTTTTTTTTTTTGAGACTGAGTCTCACTCTGTTGCCCAGGCTGGAGTGCAGTGGTGTGATCTCAGCTCACTGCAACCTCTGCCTCCCAGGTTCAAGTGATTGTCCTGCCTCAGCCTCCTGAGTAGCTGGGATTACAGGTGCATGCCACCACGCCTGGCTAATTTTTGTATTTTCAGTAGAGACCGGGTTTCATGATATTGGCCAAGCTAGACTCGAATTCCCAACCTCAGGTGATCCACCCGCCTCGGCCTCCCAAAATGCTAGGATTACAGGCGTGAACCACTGCTCCCAGCCCAGAATTTCTTTTTTAGCCCACGTTTTTCTAGTGAAAATAATACAGCAACATTATGTGGAAAGCTTGAAAAACAGAAAACAAGAATCTCATAGTCCTACTTTCTCCCCCAGCTGCCGGCATTAATAACAATGTGTGTAGTGCACATTCCCTTCCTGTATTTTGCATGCAGAGCGTGTTTTAAAGTTGCAATCAGTGTTCATAAAGTTCTTGGCACTTCCTTTTTTGTACACAAGTACATTGTAATCATTCACCTCACGGCTACACAACCAGCATTCATCATCGTTTCAATGGTTATTTGATGCGTTGCGGTGAAAGCACTATAACAAAATTAATCATCTTCTACGGGTCATTTGTGTTCCTGACACATCTGCTGTCATGAATAACCCCATCGTGAGTTCTTCCATGCTATAACTTTTTCCTGCTTTAATAATTTTCTTAGGACAGATGCCCAGAACTGGGATTATTGGGTCAAAGGAAATGAGAATTACTTTGGCTCCTGACACTATGTCTCAGTTGCCTTCTGGAGGTTTCTAACAGTGCAGCTCTGCCAGCAGTACAGGCCGGGGGCTCGGGGATACCTCACCGGCTCTTATTCCAAGAGTCACTGAACGGCGAACACAAAGCTGCCCCAGCCCTCAGCCTGCTCTGGAGGGGCGCATTTGATGTATGACCTCTGTTGACAGCACCAGCAAAGCAAGTTGCCCTTAAACCCTTAAACTCTGTATCCCCCTATATTACCTTTCAGCCCCACAAGAGGATGTGGACGAGACCCCCAGCCCTACAGAACCAGGCACAGAGGCCCCAGGGCCCCCCGAGGAGCCTCTCCTGGGGGAGCTGACAGTGACAGGATCCTCCCCTGACTCGCTGAGCCTTTCCTGGACCGTCCCCCAGGGCCGCTTTGACTCCTTCACCGTGCAGTACAAGGACAGGGACGGGCGGCCCCAGGCGGTGCGTGTTGGGGGCCAGGAGAGCAAGGTCACTGTGAGGGGCCTGGAGCCTGGGCGCAAGTACAAGATGCACCTGTACGGCCTCCACGAGGGGCGGCGCCTGGGCCCGGTGTCTGCCGTGGGCGTCACAGGTGAGTGAGTGTGGGTGGGGCAGGGTTGGAAGACAGCCCTAGAAAATGTGCCCTTCTCTACCATTTTCCTATACATATTTCTGTCTTGATGGGGCTCACAGTGAAAGGAATATAGCAACATTATGGAAAGACATGTCATGGAGAGACAGGCTGCAATCCAGCAAATGAAGCAAAGGCGGGTGAGCATGTGATAGGGAGGCCCAGGGCTCAGGTCAGGACCAGACAGGGACGCCTAAGTCACCCTGCCCATGGGTACCCAGGGGACAGCCAGGACCTGAGGCCAGGCATGCCTTAGCTTGGTGACAGCTTTAGAGAGAAGGTGAAGTGTGTCAGATAATCACAGCTGGTGCAAAGGCCAGGAGGCTAGAAAGAGCATGGCACGTGAGAGGCACTGAGGATTGAGTGGGGTGTCCTTTACGGTGAGTATCTCATCCTGAAGTGTGGGAGCAGAGGAGGGGACCACTCACCAGGCCTGGGGTCTCCCAGGGATGAGGATGTGGTTGCCCAGGTCTGTGCTGAGATGGCCCCAGCAGCTGTGCCTGTGTGAAGCTCATCCGTGGGGGCTGAAGATGGGGATGGGGTGGCAGGGAGCCTGGAGGCAGCGAGGCCAGTAGGCAGTTGGTGGCCCTGGTGAGAGGTGACAGTGGCTCAAACTAGGATCGGGGACTGGAGGTGGGGTAGGAAGGTATCCAGGGGAATTCAGGGTAAAGATGCTCTGAGGCTGCTGGCAGCTGGTGAGGAGCTGGATCCAGGAACACACCCCAGGCTCTGGCCTCGGGAGGAGTGTGCTGAGCTTGTTGCGGAGCAAAGACAGAAGCCCAGTGAACAAAAGATGGCGAAGAGACCCCAGTGCTGGGAGGCCAGGGGTGCAGAGGCCGAGTGGGGCTGTGCTCAAAAGAGAGGCGGTGCTGGAGGGACAGGGAGAGGTGGCCTGGGTGTTGGGAGGTGGGGGTGAGGTGGGGGCTGAGGGCAGGAGGGTCAGGGTGAGGGATAGGAAAGGCCACAGGAGAGGAGAGGATGAAGAGCTGTGCTGGAGGGGCTGTGGGCAGCATCGTCCTGCTCTTGGGCACTTTGTGTTTTGTGACACATCCTTTCTATGCTGAACTGAGGAGCCAGGGACCTCACTGTCCCCACACGTGTCTGTCCAACTCCAGAGGATGAAGCCGAGACCACCCAAGCAGTGCCTACCATGACCCCTGAGCCCCCCATCAAGCCTCGCCTGGGGGAGCTGACCATGACAGATGCCACCCCTGACTCCCTCAGCCTGTCCTGGACGGTTCCCGAGGGCCAGTTTGACCACTTCCTGGTCCAGTACAGGAATGGGGATGGGCAGCCCAAGGCGGTGCGGGTGCCGGGGCACGAGGACGGGGTCACCATCTCAGGCCTGGAGCCAGACCATAAATACAAGATGAACCTGTACGGCTTCCACGGTGGCCAGCGCGTGGGCCCCATCTCTGTCATTGGGGTGACGGGTGAGTGGATGATGGCAGCCCCAGGGTGGGAGCCGTGGGAGGGTCACCCTCTTGCTCTTTGGTGATGACTGGTGGGGAATGGGCCAGGGGTCCGGTCAGCACCACAGACCTGCTTGTGGCTGGGGCTCCCCTTGGGCCTTCCTCTGAGGCTGACCCCTGGCTCCTCCTGAGCAGGGAGGGGCCATCAGGAGTTCTGCTGTGCTGGTGACTGTCCCAGGTCCCCCACAGCTGACCCTGGAACTTGTCATGTGTGTTAGCTGTCAGTTGAGCAGGACCACCCAGCCCCAAGAATGGGCTTTTCTGAAATGACCTCACATACCCAGTAGTGGCCATGGTTTCTCCCTCCTTCCCTTGAAGACCTGAGCACATCCCCCAGGCACCTGGCATCCTCTCTATATCTCCTTTTCTCAGCTGCAGAGGAAGAGACCCCCAGCCCCACGGAACTCAGCACTGAGGCCCCGGAGCCCCCTGAGGAGCCGCTCCTGGGGGAGCTGACAGTGACAGGATCCTCCCCTGACTCGCTGAGCCTCTCCTGGACCATCCCCCAGGGCCACTTCGACTCCTTCACCGTGCAGTACAAGGACAGGGACGGGCGGCCCCAGGTGATGCGTGTCAGGGGCGAGGAGAGCGAGGTCACCGTGGGGGGCCTGGAGCCCGGGCGCAAATACAAGATGCACCTGTACGGCCTCCACGAGGGGCGGCGTGTGGGCCCGGTGTCCACCGTGGGTGTGACAGGTGAGTGTTTGTGAGTGAGGAAGATGGCCCTAGAAGATGTTGCTTTCTCTGCAACTTCATGAAAACAAAAATATTCTCACCAGCCGGGCTTCTTTTGCACGTTTCCATGCTTGGGGATCTTGCTAAGAGGCAGATTGGGGTTCAACAGGTTTGGGCTAGGGCCAGAGATTCTGCATTTCCAACAAGAAATGATGCGGATGCTACTGGCCCATGATCACGCCCCTTGAGTAGCAAAGTTCTTCACGACAAAGGAATTGGACCCTCTTTTGAAATCTGTTGAAGAGAATTTTTCTGCGTCCCTGATTCCTGGTAGTGTGCTTTCTCTGTGGAGTTGACTAGGGGCCGTGAAGGAAGACAGAAGGCAGTGAGGGGCAGCGCGTCGACTGCACACTCTGGAAGCCCACTATTGGAATAGGAATAGGAACAGACCTTTCTCACCAATGGGCCAATTTGTTCATTCAGCAAAGAATTCCTTGCCCTGATCCGGACACTGTAATTTTAGGGTATCAATGTCCTCTGGCCAACGACCTCCAGAAACTCACCTAAAATTGAATGGATGGAATTATGCTCCATGCAGTGCAGGAGGACTGTGGGGTGACTTAGGAAGAGGCTTTAGAAAGAGATTGTTAAGGAACTGGGCTTGTGTTTGGTGTTTTAGGAAAGCATTTAAGGAAGCAAGGTTTTGCTCTTTATTAGACGCTGTCAGGAAGAAGGGATAACCCTATTACCGGGCGTCTCACTAAGTCTTATCTTTGGGGAGGTCAACTAGAGCAAGGCCAAAGCTGCCATTGGTAAAGAAGCAGCTATCACTCAGATTAGCTGGATGGGTGATGTTTGGTTATTTTTGTGCTTTGGAAAATGTTAGAGTTCATCCTTACTGAGACATGATCACAGACTGGCCTTGTTCTTGTCTTGATCCATCCTACTGACAAATGGCCTAGTCTGATGTTGATGTTCCATGAAATTGTCTGTTCAACTGGACCACGCCAAGACCAGACTGTGCCAGGCCAGCCCCAAGCAGCCGTGGCCTGGCAGAGGGAAAGGGCAGCTCACGGGTGTCAGGGCTGCCTTTTTCTTTCATAGGCGGAAGCTGGAAAGTGACACACACAAGTTCATGTTTTCATGGGGCTCACAATTGTGGGCACAAGCAGAAAACCGGAAAGTAAGCAAAGAAGGATGAGCATGTGGAGCCCAGGAGCCAAGCCAGGATTGGGAAGGGACAGTGAAGTCACTCTGCCCACAAGTACCCAGGGGACAGCCAGGACCTGAGGCCAGGCAGGCCTTAGCTTGATGACAGCTTTGGAGAGGAAGTGAAGCATGTCAAATCATCACAGCTAGTGCAAAGGCCAGGAGGCTAGAAAGAGCATGGTGTGTGAGAGACACTGAGGATTGAGTGGGGTGTCCTTTGCAGTTGGTGGATCATCCTGAAGTGTGGGAGCAGAGGAGGGGACCACTCACCAGGCCTGGGGTCTCCCAGGGATGAGGATGTGGTTGCCCAGGTCTGTGCTGAGATGGCCCCAGCAGCTGTGCCTGTGTGAAGTTCATCCGTGGGAGCTAAAGATGGGGATGGGGTGGCAGGGAGCCTGGAGGCAGGGAGGCCAGTAGGCAGTTGGTGGCCCTGGTGAGAGGTGACAGTGGCTCAAACTAGGATTGGGGACTGGAGGTGGGGGAGGAAGGTATCCAGGGAAACTCGGGGGAGAGGTACTCTGAGGCTGCTGGCAGCTGGTGAGGGGCTGGGTCCAGGAACACACCCCAAGCTCTGGCCTCGGGAGGAGTGTGCTGAGCTTGTTGCGGAGCAAAGACAGAAGCCCAGTGAACAAAAGATGGCGAGGAGACACCAGTGCAGGGAGGCTAAGGGTGCAGAGGCCGAGTGGGGCTGTGCTCAAAAGAGAGGCGGTGCTGGAGGGACAGGGAGAGGTGGCCTGGGTGTTGGGAGGTGGGGGTGAGGTGGGGGCTGAGGGCAGGGGGGTCAGGGTGAGGGATAGGAAAGGCCGCAGGAGAGGAGAGGATGAAGAGCTGTGCTGGAGGCGCTGTGGGCAGCATCGTCCTGCTCTTGGGCACTTTGTGTTTTGTGACACATCCTTTCTATGCTGAACTGAGAACCCAGGGACCTCACTCTCCCCACACGTGTCTGTCCAGCTCCAGAGGATGAAGCAGAGACCACCCAAGCAGTGCCCACCACAACCCCTGAGCCCCCCAACAAGCCTCGCCTCGGGGAGCTGACCGTGACAGATGCCACCCCTGACTCCCTCAGCCTGTCCTGGATGGTCCCCGAGGGCCAGTTTGACCACTTCCTGGTCCAGTACAGGAATGGGGATGGGCAGCCCAAGGTGGTGCGGGTGCCGGGGCACGAGGACGGGGTCACCATCTCAGGCCTGGAGCCAGACCACAAGTACAAGATGAACCTGTACGGCTTCCACGGTGGCCAGCGCGTGGGCCCCATCTCTGTCATTGGGGTGACAGGTGAGTGTACGATGGGAGCCCCAGAGTGGGGCCTGTGGGAGGGTCTCCCTTTCTCTGGTGATGGGTGAACTGGCCCAGGAAGCCCCTCTGCTCTTGGCTGAGCCATGGTACTTTTTTGTCTTTCCCCACTTCCCTGAGGACTGACAGATCTTCCTGGGTGGAGAAGGGCCCTGTGAGCTCTGTTGGTGGCTGTCCCAAGTTCCCCAGCACTGACCTCAGAGCTTGTCATGTGTGTTGACTGTAAACTGAGCAAGACCACCCAGCTCCAAAGATGGGCCTCTCCAAGCTGACCCCAGGACCCCCACTCATGGCCACAGCTTCGCTCTCCTTCCTCACAAGACCCAAGGACATCCCCCAGGGAAGCTGCCTCACCTTCTCTGTCCCCTCTTCTCAGCTGCAGAGGAAGAAACTCCCGCCCCCACAGAACCCAGCACGGAGGCCCCGGAGCCCCCTGAGGAGCCGCTCCTGGGGGAGCTGACAGTGACAGGATCCTCCCCTGACTCGCTGAGCCTCTCCTGGACCATCCCCCAGGGCCGCTTCGACTCCTTCACTGTGCAGTACAAGGACAGGGACGGGCGGCCCCAGGTGGTGCGTGTCAGGGGCGAGGAGAGCGAGGTCACCGTGGGGGGCCTGGAGCCCGGGTGCAAATACAAGATGCACCTGTACGGCCTCCACGAGGGGCAGCGCGTGGGCCCAGTGTCCGCTGTGGGTGTGACAGGTGAGTAAGTGTGAGTGAGGCGAGGTGGGGAAGATGGCCCTGGAAGACACTGCTGTCTCTCCAGTCTTCGTGAAAACATACTCTGAAGAGTATTCCTTCCTTTGTGTATCCAAATGCCTGGAGATTTTTGTTAAAAAGCAGATTTGGATTCAGCAGGCTTGGCCTAGGGCAAGAGACCATGCATTTCTTTCTTTTTCTTTCTTTCTTTTTTTTTTTTTTGAGATAGAGTCTCGCTTTGTCACCCAGGCTGGAGTACAGTGGCTCAATCTCGGCTCACTGGAACCTCCGCCTCCTGGGTTCAAGTGATTCTCCTACCTCAGCCTCCTGAGTAACTGGGACTACAGGCGTGCGCCACCACGCCCAGCTAATTTTTTCATATTTTTAGTAGAGATGGGTTTCACCGTGTTAGCCAGGATGGTCTCAATCTCCTGACCTCGTGATCTGCCCTCCTCGGCCTCCCAAAGTGCTGGGATCATAGGCGTGAGCCACGGCGCCCAGCCGACCATCCATTTCTAACAAGATTCTCATCTATCTTGATGCCACTGGTCCAAGGAACACACTTTTTTTGTTGTTTTTTATTGTAGTAAAGTACACTTGACATAATTCGCCATTCTAATCGCTTTCTAGTTTGCAGTCCAGCATGAAGTCCACTCACATTGCTGTGGACTGTCACCCTCCACTTCCAGAACTCCTCTTCCCACACTGAAACTTCCTACCCACTAGACACGAACTCCCATTCTCCCCTTGCCCCAGCCCCTGGCAACACCATTCTACTCTCTGTCTCTATGAATTTGACTCTAGGTACCTCATATAAGTGCAATCATACAATATTTGTCTTTTTTGAATGGTTCATTTCATTAAATACAATGTCTTTAAGGTTCATCTATGTCGTAGCATCAGTCAGAATTTCCTTTTTATTTTATTTTCTGTGGCAATGGGGGTCTCGGTATGTTGCCCAGGCTGGTCTCAAACTCCTGGCCTCAAGCGAGTCTCCCACCTTGACCTCCCAAAGTGCTGGGATTATAGGCAAGAGCCACTGCACCTGGCCAGAACTTCCTTCCTTTTCAGGCTGAATAATGTTTCGTTTTACACATACAGACCACACTTTGCTCATCCTTTCATCCATTGATGGACATCTGGGTTGCTTCCACCTCTTAGCTATCAAGAATAATGCTGCTATGAATATTTGTGTGCAAATCACAGAACACCTTTGTAGCAAAGCTCCTCCCAGTAACAGATTTGGAAACTCTCTTAGAATTTGTTGAAGCGAATTTTTCTTGCATTCATGAATCCTCACAGAGGTTAGGCTCAGAGTTAGGGTTCCTGTCCTAATGGGAAAAGTTCCTGTCCTAATGGGGCTAACGTCATGGGGGACAGGCTGTGGACCAGTAAGAAAGCAAAGGCGGGTGAGCATGTGACAAGAAGCCCAGAGCCAGGCAGGAATACCTAAACCACCCTACCTGTGGATACTCAGGGGACAGTCAGGATCTGAGGCCAGGCAGGCCTTAGCTTGGTGACAGCTTTAGAGAGAAGGTGAAGCGTGTCAGATCAGCACAGGTGGTGCAAAGGCCAGGAGGCTAGAAAGAGCATGGTGTGTGAGAAGTACTGAGGATTGAGTGGGGTGTCCTTTGCAGTGAATAGATAGTCCTGAAGTGTGGGAGCAGAGGAGGCCTGGGGTCTCCCAGGGATGAGGATGTGATTGCCCAGGTCTGTGCTGAGATGGCCCCAGCAGCTGTGCCTGTGTGAAGCTCATCTGTGGGGGCTAAAGATGGGGATGGGGTGGCAGGGAGCCTAGAGGCAGGGAAGCCAATAGGCAGTTGGTGGCCCTGGTGAGAGGTGACAGTGGCTCAAACTAGGATCGGGGACTGGAGGTTGGGGAGGAAGGTATCCAGGGAAACTCGGGGGAGAGGTAACTCTGAGGCTGCTGGCAGCTGGTGAGGGGCTGGGTCCAGGAACACACCCCAGGCTCTGGCCTCGGGAGGAGTGTGCTGAGCTTGTTGCAGAGCAAAGACAGAAGCCCAGTGAACAAAAGATGGCGAGGAGACCCCAGTGCAGGGAGGGTAAGGGTGCAGAGGCCAAGTGGAGCTGTGCTCAAAAGAGAGGCGGTGCTGGAGGGACAGGGAGAGGTGGCCTGGGTGTTGGGAGGTGGGGGTGAGGTGGGGGCCGAGGGCAGGGGGGTCAGGGTGAGGGATAGGAAAGGCCGCAGGGGAGGAGAGGATGAAGAGCTGTGCTGGAGGCGCTGTGGGCAGCATCGTCCTGTTCTTGGGCACTTTGTGTTTTGTGACACATCCTTTCTATGCTGAACTGAGAACCCAGGGTCCTCACTGTCCCCACACGTGTCTGTCCAGCTCCAAAGGATGAAGCCGAGACCACCCAAGCAGTGCCTACCATGACCCCTGAGCCCCCCATCAAGCCTCGCCTGGGGGAGCTGACCGTGACAGATGCCACCCCCGACTCCCTCAGCCTGTCCTGGATGGTTCCCGAGGGCCAGTTTGACCACTTCCTGGTCCAGTACAGGAATGGGGATGGGCAGCCCAAGGCGGTGCGGGTGCCGGGGCACGAGGACGGGGTCACCATCTCAGGCCTGGAGCCAGACCATAAATACAAGATGAACCTGTACGGCTTCCACGGTGGCCAGCGCGTAGGCCCTGTGTCTGCCATTGGGGTGACGGGTGAGTGAATGATGGGAGCCCCAGGGTGGGAGCTGTGGGAGGGCCACCTCTTGCTCTTTGGTGATGACTGGTGGGGAATGGGACAGGGGTCTGGTCAGCACCACAGAACTGCTTGTGGCTGGGGCTGGGACTCCCCTTGGGCCTTCCTATGTGGTTGACCCCTGGCTCCCCCTGAGCAGGGAGGGGCCATCAGGAGTTTTGCTGTGCTGGTGGCTGTGCCAGGTCCCCCACAGCTGACCCTGGAACTTGTTACGTGTGTTAGCTGTCAGCTGAGCAGGACCACCCAGCCCCAAGAATGGACTTCTCTGAAATGACCTCAGGTCCCCCAGTCATAGCCTTGGCTTCTCCCTCCTTTTCCCCAGGACCCAAGGACATCCCCCTCACTCTCTCTCCCTCCTTCTCCACTGCAGAGGAAGAGACCCCCAGCCCCACAGAACCCAGCACTGAGGCCCCGGAGGCCCCTGAGGAGCCGCTCCTGGGGGAGTTGACAGTGACAGGATCCTCCCCTGACTCGCTGAGCCTCTCCTGGACCGTCCCCCAGGGCCGCTTCGACTCCTTCACCGTGCAGTACAAGGACAGGGACGGGCAGCCCCAGGTGGTGCGTGTCAGGGTCGAGGAGAGCGAGGTCACCGTGGGGGGCCTGGAGCCCGGGCGCAAATACAAGATGCATCTGTACGGCCTCCACGAGGGGCAGCGCGTGGGCCCAGTGTCCACCGTGGGCATCACGGGTGAGTGGGGGGACAGGCCCTCGTCCCCAGGTTTACCTCTGCAGCCCCCTTGTGTTTCTCCTTTGGATCTTGGCACCTCTTTTGACTGGGCCTCTAGGTTTCTGTCTTTTCTCCCATGTTGCTAATGATCCTGCCTCATCCTTGGATTCATGGAGACTGTGTGGAGTCAGATGGGCAGGTAGTCCATGCCCTGTTTGTTGTAGCTTCCTTCTCCCATTGTGATCTGGAACCTCCATGTTGCTCGTGTGCTCATTTGTTAGTCTTCAGGCTCCCTTAAGGAGTATTTTAGTGGCTCAGAAAGTGCTTCAGATCCAGCTGCCCAGATCTGCATGTGCCTTCGAATGTAGTGATTGTGCGACTTTGCAGGCGTTTCCTAACCTTGTGCTTCAGATTCCTGCAAAGTTGGGGTGATGATAATAATGGCACCCACTTCATATGTTGTGCGAGGGTTAAATGCACCACTGTTTGTGAGCTGCTTACAGCAATGCAGGGCACAGATTCTAAAACAAGCGTTTTAGAGGAGGCCGCTAAGAAATGCTCACTCCAGTCCTGGGAGAGCACTGCCTCCCTTGCGCAGGGTCCTGCCTCCTGACCCATGGGCCTGCTCTGCTCTTTTCAGCGCCCCTGCCCACACCACTGCCGGTGGAGCCCCGCCTGGGGGAGCTGGCGGTGGCGGCCGTGACCTCGGACTCAGTGGGCCTCTCATGGACGGTGGCCCAGGGCCCCTTTGACTCCTTCCTGGTACAGTACAGGGACGCGCAGGGGCAGCCCCAGGCAGTGCCTGTGAGCGGAGACCTCCGAGCGGTCGCCGTCTCGGGGCTGGACCCGGCCCGCAAGTACAAGTTCCTGCTCTTTGGACTCCAGAATGGGAAACGCCACGGCCCAGTCCCTGTGGAGGCCAGGACCGGTGAGTGAGGGCTGGAGGCCTCCCGCGGCCAGAGCCTTCGCCCCCTTGTGGCACCTGTTGGAATTTCACGTTCTGTGCCCCACACTCCAGTCCTCAGCACCCACTGATTTATTGGGTCCAGGAAAACCCAGGCCCTGAGCTCTCCTCTCCCACTCACACTCATCCCTCTCCCTACTTTCCCTGCACCCCAGGGGACACTTGCTTTCTTGTCTGGCTCCTCTTTTATTCCTACTCCTGGCCCAGTCACCCTCCCGTTCCTGGGACCGGCTCACAGAGCCATAGCAGCCCAGGAAGCTCCGTGGCCCCTTTGCCTCCATCCCACTCTCCATGCACCTCACTGTCTTTTCCAGCCCCAGACACCAAACCGTCTCCCCGCCTGGGGGAGCTGACTGTGACAGATGCGACCCCTGACTCCGTGGGCCTCTCGTGGACGGTCCCTGAGGGCGAATTCGACTCCTTCGTGGTCCAGTACAAGGATAAGGATGGTCGGCTCCAGGTGGTGCCGGTGGCAGCCAACCAGCGGGAGGTCACAGTCCAGGGCCTGGAGCCCAGTAGGAAATACAGGTTCCTGCTCTATGGTCTGTCAGGCAGGAAACGACTGGGCCCCATCTCTGCTGACAGCACCACAGGTGAGTCCCAGTCCAGCCTCCACCTTTTCCAGAGCTGCCTCTCATCCGAGCCCTCAGAGCTGGCCCTGCAGCCTTCCCGTGAGATTCCCTCTATCAGCCCTGACACAACCATCTTAACTCCGAAAGTGAGTCCCTCTGTGTGTCAGGCACAGTTCTGAAGCATATGCATTACTTCCTTTCATTCGCTGACTGCTGAGGAAATAAAAGGGACACGGGCTTTGGGGCCAGCAGATCTGTGTTCCAGTTCCAGTCCTAGCCTTTGCCAGGGTGACCATGGACAAGCCGCTTCATCCCCGGGACCTCAGTGTCCTCACCTGCATAATGCTGGGAATGGCGCTGGACTCAGTAGTGGTTCCCATCCTCCTCCCTCCTCCCTGACTCGGAGCCGAGGGGTGGAAGAAAAGGGAGGGCTTGGCTATGGAAAGACGATGGAAAAACCTGGTGTCACTATGCCTATGACTCAGCTCCCTGAGGAAGGGGTGTGGTGGGTCACCGACCCTCACCCCACTCCCAGGACCATGAGTCACTATGCCCAGAGGAGGACAGAGCAGCCGGCCAGTCTGGGCCTGGGTCCCTGGGACTCCGTAATTCTCTTCCCAAACCCTCACTGTGGGGACGGGGTACAGATCCCCACCCATCGGCCCCAGCCCCACCCGGGCAAGCCTCTGCTCTGCCCTCTGTTCTCCCAGCTAATCCCCTGTCTTCTCCCTGCCCCACCCTGGCTGCCCCGGCCCAGTGGGGTCAGTGTGGGGCTGGGGAAGCAGGAGGCACGGATGTTCAGGCTGATGGCCACAAGGGGACAAGGGGGAGATCACAGCCTGGCAGTGATGGGAGCCGTGCATTGGCCGGCTGCCCAGACCAGCTCTCGATGTTTGGGGTGTCTCCGTGACAACCCAGAGACCTCCGGGGAGTCTCTCTCAGCTCTGGCCTCATTCTTGCTCAGGGGCTGGGGGTCAGGGTAAACAAAGGCCCTCTCTGCACCCCCAGCCACCCATCCCTCGGGAGATGATCTGTAATGAATTTGGCGCATCCTCGATCACAGCAGGGAAGGGGCGGGGCAGGAAGGAGTTTGGGCAGCAGCCTCCAGAGGAGGAGGGGGCTGTTCTCCCTCATTCCTGTGGGGCATGGCGGGAGCAGGCCTGTGTGTCTCCTCAAGGAGCTGTCCCTGGGGCTACACTGGAGGGACCATTTCCCAGAACCTCACACCTCCGGGAGGCTGCCAGGGCTTAGGCAAAGGCAGCATGTGACTAAGAGCTTTCCCTCCTCCCTCTGCACAGCTCCCCTGGAGAAGGAGCTACCTCCCCACCTGGGGGAACTGACCGTGGCTGAGGAGACCTCCAGCTCTCTGCGCCTGTCCTGGACGGTAGCCCAGGGCCCCTTTGACTCCTTCGTGGTCCAGTACAGGGACACGGACGGGCAGCCCAGGGCAGTGCCTGTGGCCGCAGACCAGCGCACAGTCACCGTAGAGGACCTGGAGCCTGGCAAGAAATACAAGTTTCTGCTCTACGGGCTCCTTGGGGGAAAGCGCCTGGGCCCGGTCTCTGCCCTGGGAATGACAGGTGAGGCTGCTGTGCCTGGCTATAGCAAGCCAGCTTGTGTGGGTTTCCTTGTGCATTTGGGCTGAAGACAAAGATGACTGCAGGAGTGGGCAGGCCGGAGTGGGGCGCCCTGGCCTGTCCCCAGGAAGGAGGAGGAGTCTGCAGCCCTGTGGGCTTCAACATCCATCAAGGAGTCCAGAGCAGGAGCCAGGCCAGGCGGGAGGGAAAGGCCCTGGGAGGGGCTCTCTAATCTCCCAGCCCCGACTCTGCCCCGTCACTGCCACTGCTCCTCATTACTCGCTGGGGCTGCTGTCGCCTCCCCGAAGGGTGGCCTTGTCCAGATAGCGGCAAACCTCCCTGCCGTGGATGAGTCAGGAGCATTTTCTTAAGAGGAACATCACTGGAAAACAAAATGAGCGGGGACACAGAAACCAACAGCAGTGGCTGCATTTGTGGTACAGGCTCCTCTTCCAGAGCTCGCTGATGCCCACCTCAGACAGGCCTGACCACGGCACGGCTGGTGGGATTTGCCAGTCACCTCAACCAGCCAGTTCCACCCTCAGCTTCTCTCAGAAGGGAGCACCACACTCCTCAAGCTCAGTGAATGTATCCCGGCATGGGTGGGGCCAGAGCCTGTGATATCTCGAGGTGGGCTCGGCAGGACACCGGGGTGTGGAAGGGGGAAGCGAGCACCTGACTCAGACAGCGCGGGAGCTCGCAGGAGTCACGAGGCCACAGCGACTTCATTGTCTGACTGGGCCTGGACCTATAAACTTCCCACCTCAGCCTTGGGCCAAGCCTGGAAGATAAAAATGGAGCACCCCATGGCGCCCCTCACTCAGATTCTCCCCTGGGCTTCTCCCACGCAGCCCCAGAAGAGGACACACCAGCCCCAGAGTTAGCCCCAGAGGCCCCTGAGCCTCCTGAAGAGCCCCGCCTAGGAGTGCTGACCGTGACCGACACAACCCCAGACTCCATGCGCCTCTCGTGGAGCGTGGCCCAGGGCCCCTTTGATTCCTTCGTGGTCCAGTATGAGGACACGAACGGGCAGCCCCAGGCCTTGCTCGTGGACGGCGACCAGAGCAAGATCCTCATCTCAGGCCTGGAGCCCAGCACCCCCTACAGGTTCCTCCTCTATGGCCTCCATGAAGGGAAGCGCCTGGGGCCCCTCTCAGCTGAGGGCACCACAGGTACCACCAGGCGTCTCCGGCCTCTAGCCTAGGACTCAGAAGGGAGAAACGGGGGCTCAGAAGGGGTGGTCGCAGGGAAAGAGCGTGAGGCGGGTACCAGGGAGAGAGGATGGATGGGCTGGATGCGAGTGGCCTTTAGCTCTGCCCCACAGGACCCCCCTGTGGCTGCAAGTCCCTGGTTACAGATAGAGAAACGGGGGCAGGGAGGGGGGTGGAAGGGACGTGCTCTGGGTCACCAAGCTGGTGTGCTTCTGTCTCCAATCCCTTCTCCCCCACCCACTCCGTGCAGGGCTGGCTCCTGCTGGTCAGACCTCAGAGGAGTCAAGGCCCCGCCTGTCCCAGCTGTCTGTGACTGACGTGACCACCAGTTCACTGAGGCTCAACTGGGAGGCCCCACCGGGGGCCTTCGACTCCTTCCTGCTCCGCTTTGGGGTTCCATCACCAAGCACTCTGGAGCCGCATCCGCGTCCACTGCTGCAGCGCGAGCTGATGGTGCCGGGGACGCGGCACTCGGCCGTGCTCCGGGACCTGCGTTCCGGGACTCTGTACAGCCTGACACTGTATGGGCTGCGAGGACCCCACAAGGCCGACAGCATCCAGGGAACCGCCCGCACCCTCAGCCCAGGTAAGGACCCACACACACTCTGCCCCAAAGTGGGGGTCTTTGTACTTCACGGGGGGGACCTAGTGCCTCAGCCAGCGGTGGGGGTGGGCGAGTTGGTGGTGGGCCTGGAGGAATCTGCAGAGCGACTTCCATTCCTGGGGACTAGAGGAAAAGGGGTGGTGAGCCTGTGCTGGAGCAGAGGCGAGGGGGGGACTCGCAGGGAGAAGCCTCCCTGCCCCTGCCTGCGTCATTGTTCCTTGACCCCTCTGCAGTTCTGGAGAGCCCCCGTGACCTCCAATTCAGTGAAATCAGGGAGACCTCAGCCAAGGTCAACTGGATGCCCCCACCATCCCGGGCGGACAGCTTCAAAGTCTCCTACCAGCTGGCGGACGGAGGTGGTGCCTTTGCCATGTGCTCATCGCCTCGCATTTCCTCTCCCCCCTGCACTCTGCCCACCCTCCAGCTGCCCTGGGGTTCCCTGGGTAACCCTCGATCCCCAATGTTTTCAGGGGAGCCTCAGAGTGTGCAGGTGGATGGCCAGGCCCGGACCCAGAAACTCCAGGGGCTGATCCCAGGCGCTCGCTATGAGGTGACCGTGGTCTCGGTCCGAGGCTTTGAGGAGAGTGAGCCTCTCACAGGCTTCCTCACCACGGGTGAGATGGACTGGGACCCGGGGCAAGAGGTGGGAGCCAAGAAAACGGCATGGGTGGGAGTTGAGAGAGAACGAGGAGGGTGAAAGGGAGGTGGTGGAGGCTCCGATTGCGGACGGGAGGCCAGTGGAGTCTGGGGAGGCACGGAGTAGAGAGAGCCGCGGGGACCCTTCTGAGCCCCTCCCCTTCCCCCAGTTCCTGACGGTCCCACACAGTTGCGTGCACTGAACTTGACCGAGGGATTCGCCGTGCTGCACTGGAAGCCCCCCCAGAATCCTGTGGACACCTATGACGTCCAGGTCACAGCCCCTGGGGGTGAGCAGGCCTGAGGCCTCTGGAGGGGACTTGTTCAGGGTGGGGATTGCAGGGGGGAGGCTGGACTCTGGCCGAGGATGGAGGGGGCAGGCCTTGATGCCCCTCTCTACACTCCCAGCCCCGCCTCTGCAGGCGGAGACCCCAGGCAGCGCGGTGGACTACCCCCTGCATGACCTTGTCCTCCACACCAACTACACCGCCACAGTGCGTGGCCTGCGGGGCCCCAACCTCACTTCCCCAGCCAGCATCACCTTCACCACAGGTAGGGTCTGTGGGGTGTGTGGGACAGGGAGAGGAGGTAGAGGGAGCCAGGTTGGGCCTCATCCCCATCTCCTCTTCCTGCTTTCCCTCCTAGGGCTAGAGGCCCCTCGGGACTTGGAGGCCAAGGAAGTGACCCCCCGCACCGCCCTGCTCACTTGGACTGAGCCCCCAGTCCGGCCCGCAGGCTACCTGCTCAGCTTCCACACCCCTGGTGGACAGAACCAGGTGCCCCGGCCCCACTGACCCAACTCCCCTCCCTGGGTGATTCCAGGAGGTGCTGCCTCTGGCCCTCCCGGAGGGTCTCCACCTCCCTCTCCCCTGACCCCCCCTTGTCTGTCCCACAGGAGATCCTGCTCCCAGGAGGGATCACATCTCACCAGCTCCTTGGCCTCTTTCCCTCCACCTCCTACAATGCACGGCTCCAGGCCATGTGGGGCCAGAGCCTCCTGCCGCCCGTGTCCACCTCTTTCACCACGGGTACCTGGACGCACGGGCCCGGGGCCGGGGGCTGGGTGGGCAGCCAGGGCCTAAGGCTTGGAAAAGGACTGGCCCCTGCTCTCCTCTCCCAGGTGGGCTGCGGATCCCCTTCCCCAGGGACTGCGGGGAGGAGATGCAGAACGGAGCCGGTGCCTCCAGGACCAGCACCATCTTCCTCAACGGCAACCGCGAGCGGCCCCTGAACGTGTTTTGCGACATGGAGACTGATGGGGGCGGCTGGCTGGTGGGTGGCATTGGGAAGCCCAGGGGTCTGTGCAGGGCAGGGTCTGTTGCCCCGGGAGCCAGAGGCTGATGGTGCCCCCACTTGCTTCCCAGGTGTTCCAGCGCCGCATGGATGGACAGACAGACTTCTGGAGGGACTGGGAGGACTATGCCCATGGTTTTGGGAACATCTCTGGAGAGTTCTGGCTGGGTCAGTGCCTCACAGGGACTGGGGAAGTACGGATGGGGATGGGGGCCCTGTGGACACCAGGACCCTGATGAGGGCACGTATCCCACCCCCAGGCAATGAGGCCCTGCACAGCCTGACACAGGCAGGTGACTACTCCATGCGCGTGGACCTGCGGGCTGGGGACGAGGCTGTGTTCGCCCAGTACGACTCCTTCCACGTAGACTCGGCTGCGGAGTACTACCGCCTCCACTTGGAGGGCTACCACGGCACCGCAGGTAAGCAGAGGCTGTGAGGCTGGGAGGGTGAGGCTGGGAGGGGAGGCCCTCATGGCTCCTTCCTCCACCCTGCCCAGGGGACTCCATGAGCTACCACAGCGGCAGTGTCTTCTCTGCCCGTGATCGGGACCCCAACAGCTTGCTCATCTCCTGCGCTGTCTCCTACCGAGGGGCCTGGTGGTACAGGAACTGCCACTACGCCAACCTCAACGGGCTCTACGGGAGCACAGTGGACCATCAGGTGAGGGGTGGGGAGGCGGCTCAGAGCTGGGGTGGCTGGGGCTCGGCCTGCCTAGGTTTCAGCCCCACAGTGTAACAGGCAAGGGACTGAGTGGCTGGGTGAAATGGAACAATCATGCCAGCCTCGCAGAGGGAGCTGGAGTTGATTTATTGGCTGGAAAGGGCCAGCTCAGAATTAAGCCTCAATCCTCTGCAGCGGAGGGTCAGGAAGGGAGCTCTGCGGGGAGGTTGGTTGAGTGCTGGGAGCTACCTCCTTAAGGGGAACGGGAAGAGCAGATGGGACATCCGGCTTTGACTCTCTCTTGACAACCCCTTTCCCAGGGAGTGAGCTGGTACCACTGGAAGGGCTTCGAGTTCTCGGTGCCCTTCACGGAAATGAAGCTGAGACCAAGAAACTTTCGCTCCCCAGCGGGGGGAGGCTGAGCTGCTGCCCACCTCTCTCGCACCCCAGTATGACTGCCGAGCACTGAGGGGTCGCCCCGAGAGAAGAGCCAGGGTCCTTCACCACCCAGCCGCTGGAGGAAGCCTTCTCTGCCAGCGATCTCGCAGCACTGTGTTTACAGGGGGGAGGGGAGGGGTTCGTACAGGAGCAATAAAGGAGAAACTGAGGTACCCGGCTGGCATCGGTCCTGCCCCATCACTGGCTCTGGCCCGGGCTGTGGGCCCCCATCCCCCGGGGCTGCAGCCGCACTTGGAAAGGCTGCATCTTGAGGATGACACTGCAGTGGGGCAGGGGCTGCAGGGAGGGCAGGGCGTCCCCGGAGGGCAGCAGCGTGAAGGCCTGCAGCAGTCGGGTCAGCACCACGAAGAGCTCCAGGCGCGCCAGCGGCTCGCCCAGGCACACGCGGGCACCGCAGCCGAAGGCCAGAGCTCTGGAGTTCTTGCCTGGCTCCAGGAAGCGATCTGCGGGCGGGTGGACAGGTGGGTGGGGAGGCGTTCAGCGGCAGCGGGGACCAGCCTCCACCACATTTTCACGGCAGGCCCCCGGCCCCCCACATACCAGGCCAGAACTCATGTGGCCTCTCCCAGACCGTCTCATCCAGGTGGGCGCCTTGGAGGTTCGGAATGATGACTGTGCCCTCAGGGATGTCGTAGCCGGAGATGCTGAAGGGGGCTGGAGTTAGAGGCTGGCCAGGATCTCCCTGGGCTCGGGCTTTCCTCACTCATCCCCAACCCTCGGGAGTCACCTGCTGGGCCGTGTGGTGCGGTGGGGCAAGGCTAAGGGCACAACGGGCCGCAGGCGCAGCACCTCGGCGATGGTGGCATTGAGCAAGGGCAGCCGTGCACGGTCCTTGTAGGGGACCCGGGAGCTGGAGGCACCAGGGCCCAGTTCGTGGTCTAGCTCCTCCTGCAGTCGCTGCTGAATCTGGGGAATGATCGGGTGGAGTCCTGCCCCAGCAGCCCACAGCTGCCCAGCCTCCAGCCGCTCCCTCAGCAACCCAGTGAGCCTGAGTGCCGGTGAGGCAAGCACAGCCCCAGCCGCACAGTGCTCAGAGCTGAGTGAGGGTGCCCACCGCCCTGGCCAGGTTGCTGGGAAGGAGCCTTTTGCTTGTCCCCAGGACGCACCTCAGGGTGGTGAAGCAAAAAAACCACGGCCCAGGAGAGGGTGTTTGCTGTGGTCTCAGTGCCACCGATCAGGAGGTCCACTGCAGCCATGTGCACGTGCCCTTCCAGGAGCTGTCCAGAGCCCTCTTCCATGCTCGGCTGCGCCACCCCTTGGAGCATGTAGTCCATCATGTCCCTCCACTGGCCTGCCACGAGGCTCTCCTGCAGAGGGTGAAAGGAGCGGGCTGAGCGGCTGGCCTGGGGAGAGGAGTACAGAGTGGCAACAGGCCCATAACTGGGGTATGCAAAAGAACCCGCCTCATAGCAATGCTGAGGCCGGTAGCATCACTGGCTGTGGGCCGAGGGGAGGCCGTCCACGTACAGTCCCCACCTTGTGCTGCCTCAGCTGCATCTCCACGATGTGATCCCTCTTCTCTATGGCCTGCTTCAGCCTCCGGAGACCTGGATTGGGGAAGAACTGCGGCAGGAAGCATGAGAATGCAGCTGTGGGAAGGAGCCTCTCCCTCCACCCCAGCCTCTCCCCTACAACCCAGGGGTGTCTAGGCTCCAGGTCCTCACCCTGAGAAAGGGAATCACGTCCACAATTTGGATGGACCAGTGGCTCCAGGTTTTTAACACCTCCTGGATACATTTGTAATAGGCAGGCATTAAGTTGTCGTCCTGCCAGGAAAGGATGGAGTACTTTCAGTTCAGGACAAGGAGAGGCTCAGGGAGGGGCTGGGGGTGGGCCTGAGGGGCTGTGAGGCACCTTGATCTTGTCTCCGAAGGTGAGGTAACAGATGATGCTGCAGGTGAGGAGAGAGAATTCCTCCTCAATGGCCACAGGGGTGCCGGGCTGGGCTCTCATGCGCTGTGGAGAAACAGTGTGAGTTCAGCAGGCCGCTGTGCAGCGGGCAGGGCGGGGGCTACTGTGAGAGGCGAGGCTGACCCGAGGTGGCCTCAGGAGCCCAGCCTTACCTCACAGAACTCCTGGGTCAGCTGCTCCACCACTGGCTCCATGGAGTCACGGATGCCCAGCAGCAGGGCTGAGCGGGTGAGCTTCTTGTGGGCTTTCCAGAGCAGGGAGTAGTCTCCCAAGGACAGGTCCGGGTAGTTCCTAGACACCAGCTTGTCTGCAGGAGGAGGTGGGGGCTGGAGGGTGGGAACTGATGAAGGCAGCTGAGGGCCTGACCTTCTTCGGCCTCCCCAACCCCTGCTTTCTCCCCACCAGATATGCCCCCCCAAGAGCTTCCAGGGACCTGGATTGGGGATGCCCCAAAGGTGGCTCACACTTGAGGCTGAGGTGGGAGGATCATTTGAGACTAGGAATTTAAGACCAGCCTGGGCAGCATAGCAAGAACCCATCTCTTAAAAAAAAATTTTTTTAAGAAAGAAAAAATGCCCCCGGCCCTTACAGGTAAGTGGCTCAGGTCTGCCAGCAAAGTCTGCCCACTTTTTGACCATGGCTTCCTCAATGGTCCTCTTGGAGTTCAGCACCACCACATCTGGGAGACAGCCAAAGCAGCGTCAGCGGAGAGAGGACCCTCTCCGTCACCTCCGCCCCCTCCTATGGTGAGGGCCAGAGCGAGATCAGCCTCTCACCTTGCAGCCCAAGGTGGAGCCTGTAGATGGGCCCGAATTTCTGAGTCAGGCCAAGCAGATAGATTGGGAGGTCGGGCTGCAGCAAGTGCAAGAAGCCCGGGGCAAGAGGCGGGAGGTGGAGGCTCCGGAGCTTCCACCAGTTCCACAGCAGGCGGGCGCCAGCCAGCAGGGGCAGCAGCAGCAGCAGGCCCAGGAGCAGCATGGCGAGACGCCCGTCAGGGCCCTGAGGTGCCACTTATAGCTCAAGAGCCCCAGCCATCCCTCCTGCTGTGTAGACTGTTTTGGGGCCTCCCTTGACCCCACCTTCAGGTACCCTCCCACCGACCCGCCCACAGAGTGGCCCTTTTCTGGAATGACACCAGTCTCATTGGCCTTGGGACGTCCGTATTTCAAAAAAATTGATCACCCATCAAGAAGCAAGGAAGGGAAATGCAACCCTGACCTTTTTCCTGCATCCAGAGTCAGCTTTCTGGTTCCACATCAACTGTGCAGGCAATAGTGTCCGCCCCCACCTGGGCCCTCTCCCTCTGCCACCCCACCGTGGGCCAGTTTACTGGCATGATGTTTGTCTCAGAGAGAAAATGGCAGTCCCTGCCTAATAGGCCTTCCTGAATCGCCTGAAGAACAAAATGTGATTTGTGTGGGTTGTTTGTTAGTTTAAGCTACAGATAGAGTAATACAGTTTAAGCCTGGTTTGCCTGGGGCATTCCAGTATATACAGGTATCCCAGTGTGATTGTTATTAGTGCCTCCTTTCACTCACAAAAGTGCCCAGAAGACAAAGGAGGAAGTGGTTTCCCGCTGCGGAGTAATAGCATGTACCAGACACTGCTCTAAGTGCTTTGTGGGCACTCACTCAACTCTTCACAGCCATGCTCTATATGCAACACGGGTATTGTTCGCATGTTGTGGAGGGCAGGATTCCAGCCTGGAAATCTAGCTGTCGAATATGTACCTTTAGCCACCAGGAGCACCTTTCTTTGGTTGAAAGGAAAACAGCCCACCTTGAGCTGGTTTGAGATAAAAAATAAGAATTGGGGAATTTCACAGAACTCAGGAAAAAGAAGCAGAGGAGGGGACCCCACTGGTCTTAGAAAGTCAAGGATAGGGAACAGAAAAAGCCCCGGAGACGGGCGGTTTCCTCGCTCTGTTCCTCTCTCCTCTTTCTTCTCTCTGCAGTCAAGTTTCTTGTGTTTCCAGGCACAGGCAGAACATGACTGCCCTCAGGACTACAGTCCACAGGTTCTACTCCAGCCAGGGAAAGTATGGATTCCCAGCACAACTGGGCATGCCCCCCTCAAAGTCCAAAGTCCCCAGGAAGGGGCTGGATAGCCACAGCTGGATCAGGATCAAGGGTCCAGCCCTATTTGGGGAACTGAAGCCATAAGGGGTGGGGGTCCCACTGGACTGACACTCAGAGACCACTTTTGTGAGTAAGGAGGCAGTTTGGGGATTTGGGAAGAGGCCATGCCAAAGAGGAGTGGCCGGGTTCAGTGAGAGGCCAGGGCCTCCTGGATGGTACCTGAGAGGTCAGAGGCGACCCAGCCCCATACCTTCCCCCCCATTTCTGGCTCTGTGCCAGACCCTCGGACCAGTGGGGGTCTCTCTCCCCTCAGAGCTTTTCCAGACTGTGCTACTGCAGAGCCAGAGTCAAGACCCTGGCTGTGCCACCCACTACATTGGCGAGTTCGCTGCTGCTGAATCCATGATCAGGACTGAGAGGGAGAAAACAGGATTGGGATTTCTGGGGTTGGGCAATGACAGCTACTGCCTTCTTCATGGTTGACCTCCCAGACCGGGCCATGTCTTGCTGCAACTGAATCCCTGGCTCCGGAAAATGGGCTTATGCCACCACCATGCTGAGCAGCTACTGGGAGAAAGATCTGATGAGCAACCATAGGGCCATGTATGCAAGAGCCTCAGGAAACCTCTGCCACAGTGGGAAAGGCCCAAACTTCTCAAAGTTACATGGGATAAGACAGTGCTCATCGGAAAGGAGCGCACCTGGAAGGCTGACGTGCTTACTACTTGTCTCACCATCTCCATCTCTTCCACCACTTCCAAATCCAAACTCCGAATGTGGTCAATTACATGCAATGTCCCCAAAGGTACCCTGTCCTGCCCCCGGCCTCTGGGCCTTTGTATATTCTCCTTCTGCCCCAGATGCCCTCATCTACCCCTGCTCTTTGCCTGGCTCCTTCTCAGTCTTCAGAGCCCCACTTGGAGGCCACCTGCTCCAGGAAGCCTTCCCTGTCCCTGCCTGGCAATGCCCCTGACTTGGTTAGATGCCCCACAGGACCACACTGCTCCCTGACATCACATCTTTCACAGAGGGTGGGGACTGCCCGTCCTCTTATCTGTCTCCCCAGCGATGAGCCCTGGAGTGAGCAGCTGTATCTCTGGCACCTGGCACAGGGCATGGCATGAAGTGAAAGATTCCCGAATTTCTGTCGAATGACTGGATGGCAGGCTGCTGAACTGTCATGACCTCTACGGAAACTGATCTCACCAAACTTCTTTGGACAGACGCGGAGTCATCTCTGAAGACCCCAGGTGTGCCACTAAATGGGGGAAAGTTAGGCAGGTCCGGTGGGAAGGGGAGACCCCAGGAGAACAGCGGCTTCCTCAGAGGATTCACAAACACACCAAAGTCAGACTTTTGGCTTGTTTGAAACCAGTAACTGGAAGAAGACACTGCCGGACCTGAGGATTGCACAACTCCGGGAAAGTCACCTCATTCCACTGATAACAGAACCAAGCGTCAGCAGGCTTTCAACAGCCCGGAACTCAGCTAAAATCTGCAGACCTCAGAACCGCCAGCAGCACGAGGACAGAGTCGGGGAGGTGTAGCTGGACAACAGCTCATGAGGCAGAAGAGCTGTGTCACAGGTGTCAGCTGAGCACAAGCCCTGTCTGAGGCCGTGGTGACTGGCGACAGCCGGGCAGTGGAGGGCCTTGGAAGCTGAAGGGTGGTCTTGGCATGGACTCTGGTCCTTGGGGTGCAGGCTCTTGGGTCCCAGTTCTGCTCGGGGTGGTCCTGTGAAGCACTAGACTCCTAGCGGGTCATCTGGGAGGTTCTAGCAGAGCTGAACAGCCCAAGGGTCATCAGGGCTCAGAGAGTCTAAGGTTATGTCAACCTGGCCTGCCCAGAACTGCATCGGGCAGGGGCACTGCTCTCAGCCCTAGCAACACACACTGACACTTCGCTGCCAACACTGACACTTTGCTGCCAAAAGCCTTTAATATGCCCTGGTCCCAGGCTGTGTTCATGAAAGCGGACACAGCAGTGCTTCCAGCTTCATGGTTCCCAGGTTCAGGTTCCTCCCAGCGGAGGTGGGAGGGCAGCCCTCACACCTGGCACCCCTGAGTGCCATACTCCTGGAGGAAGTCGTTGAGCTGGGCACAGGCTGCCCGCTGGCGGGTGCTCCGGCACAGGCGTTCAGAGGGCATCTCCTCGATCCAGCTATTCGAGTCCAGCAGGTACTGGGGGCTGCAGGGGGCAAAGGGGCAGTCAGCAGGGCTCGGGAGGATGGCAGGTGGAAACGGAGAGCACAGGCATCTGGCTTCTGAGGGGCAAGGCCTAGGTGGCGAGGCATGGGGAGGACAAGAGACTGAGGGGACCAGATGACTCACTGTCCCTCGAGGTCATAGGTGGCCCCATCCAGACCCATGATCAAATATTCTTTCCCAGGTTCCAAGCGAAGGCGGCAGGAGGCTCGAACCAGGAAGTTGCGCATCTGATTAGCAGCGGCCTTGACATCCTTGGCTGCGGGGATGACGTGCGCAAAAGTGGTCAGAGGGGAAGAGAAGGTGCAGGGTGAGCCCAGGCTGGGGACTCTGTGTAGATCCTCTCATTCCACCTTCGCCACCCCCATGGAGAGGTGCCACTGCCTCCCTATTTATGGCCAAGCCCAAGGCTTCTGACAGCCCAAGGGGATTTTCACACTTCCAGATGGTCAGGTCCTCGGCCACACCTCAGCCTCCCTGTCTCCCCCCAGCCCTGCCCGCCTCTCCGGTTTGCTTCATACTGAAGTGCAGGACTTGGGTGATCTTGGTCTCAAAGAGGCGGAAAGCAGCTCTGCTGTCTTCTCGGAGAACCTTAACCTGGAAGCCTAAGAGGGGGTGAGGAGAAGGGGGAAAGGTGAGTTACTTTGAGGCTGAGAGGGTAGGAAGTTGGTGTCAGAGCAAACAGGCTGCGTGCATGACCTGTAAGAGGAGCAGGCTACACCCAGAGAGACCAAAACAGCCGGTCCCCGAGGGAGGGTCAGGCCAGGGCCTCGGTGGGAAGACTGACCGTACTCCACACGGGGGTAGTAGCAGGCAAACTTCATCCTGTAGCCATCCTCGTCCTGCAGACCCCGCTCCAGGGCGCGACGCTGGCGAGGGCACTTCCCTGAAGTTGGGGAACCCATCAGACAGTGTGGGGGGGGCCCCGGCCATCCCGCCTCCACTGCCCCGCCCCAGGCCCTCAGTCTCACCCTCAGCACACTGGCAGACTTCAGCAGAACACAAGGTGGCCAAGAGTCTGCTCTTACTTGGTGCCCCGTAAAACACAGAACATCTGCGCTCTGGAGAACAGAGAGGAGTTAGGGCACAGGCCCCTCCATTCTGCCTCCTCAGTCCCAGGGAGCCCCAGGGCTCTCTGCCCCCTCACTACCCCGGTGTCCATTGTCCCATAGGAGGGCACCTATGCCAAAGTTCTCCTGAATTTCAGGGTGTCCTGCAGTGCTCACCGGGGTTGTAGTAGTCGTACAGGGTTGCGCTGGCCGGCTGCACCAGCCCCACCGGCACTTCCTGCACAGCCTCAAAGCCCACGCACTCCCGGGAGGTGGGGACCTGGCCAAGCGTGGGGAGGAGAGATGAGGGACCCACTCCCTGGGCCCTGCAGCCCCCTGTACTGGGTTTCCTTGGCCTGTTTTTGTTTGCTTCCTATTGGCCTTCTCTCCAGTGTCCTTCACATTCTGTTACCTTCCTACTCAGAGAACTCTCAAAGCTGCTCCGCAAGGTCTCTGGTGACTTCACTTCCCAGAGGGTGACCTTGCCCCAGTCTTCACTGCTCCAGGCCCTCAGCAGAGTCTTGCATCATGGACGTGTTCTCTGTGAAACTGTCCCTAAGCTAAGGGTTAGCTTCTGGACCACCCTTGGTTCTGACCTGGTCATTTCTTACGTTCCCTCCTTCGGAACTTCCTTCCTCAGAGCTCCCCTGTGGGGGTCTCAACCACTCCCTGGCTTCCACCAAACCAATCCAGGCTGATGATTCCCAAACTGAACTTGCAGCTCCATCCTTGCATTAGGATTGTGGCAGGACCTGTAAGTTCTCCAAGGCACTCTGCCTGCCCCCAAACCCACTCGCCCTCCTCGCGGCCTCATCTTTGTCATGGATACAACTGGGTCCTCCTTTATTTGCCACAACCTAACTGCAGGTTCTGTCATCCTGCCTGACCCCCCGACTCAGGTCCCAGGCCTGACCCCTCCTCGTGCCCACGCGGGCCCAGTCCACACGGTGCCGTGCCAGTGTCCCTCCTGAGCTAGGCTGCTGCACCGTCAGCTCCCTATCCGGGAATCTTGTTGGCTCTGTGTTTTCTATTGTGTTCAACCCAGATGTGTCAGCCAGGCTTCCCCAGCTGATGGGGGCTGGCCCCTCTGCACACACTGGGTAGGGGTCTCCCTGACCTACAAACAGCTGGCTAATGACAGCCACCACACCTTTCTCACATTTTCTCCCAGAGGTTACAGTAAATGTTCCAAAACTTTTTTTGAAGGCCGGGCATGGTGGCTCTGGCCTGTAAATCCGGTACTTTGAAAGGCCTAGGCCAGAGGATCGCTTGAGGCCGGGAGTTCAAGACCAGCCTGGGCAACAGAGCGAGACCCTGTCTTTACTAAATAAATAAATAAAAATGTTTTGAGAGCCGTAAGAGGGTTGATAACTATTTTAGCCAAATAAGGTCGTGAAAAGACAAATACAACTATCATCTATGGCCACCATCACTTTGTAAAGGAAAATACGCTTTAATATTAAAAAAAAGATAGGAAGTTCAACAAAAAAACAAAGGCAGCCCCTCAAGCTGAATAAAACCAGCATTAGGAAAGACTCCCTCTCAAACCCTGAGGGTCCCTGCTGACTGGCATCGGTCCCTGCCGCCTGCAGGTCTGCCCCTTACTCTGCTGTGTCTCACGGGCTCACATTCTTGTCCTTCTCTCTGATGACATCACAAGTTCTCAAGAGCACCAGCCGCTGACACAGCTGTCTCCTGAGAAACCTCCTAACGCATACTCAGTAAACCCGGTGCCATCGAGTCCCTTCCTGCCTCATCTCTCCCCACTCACCGAGTCAAAATACAGCAGGACGTGGGGCCCCTCGGTCTCAAAGTGACTCACGTAACGGTCAGAGAGGGAGGTCAGCTGTGGAAAAGGGGAGTTGGTCACAGGCCCTGCACATGACAGGGCTCAGTACCTGGGACAGAGGGGGTTGCCCTGGGTGGCTGACCACACCTTCTCCAGGTCAGCACGCAGGGCGTGGAATCCACTCAGGAGGGTGACGTCCGCGATGGCCATGCCAGACAGCCCCACCTTGCCGTTCCGCCTGTGGAGACGTGTGAGCTGTCGTCCAGGTTCTGCCTGCGCGGGCTCCAGAAGCCCAGCCCCAGCCTGGGTCCTGCCCTCCCTCCCCTGGCCCAGGGCAGCTCCCGGCGCCCACCAGATGCACACGGTGTAGTGCACCCTGGACTCCTGCTCCTCCACCACCTTGGGCGCCTCCCTCCTGCGGCGGTTCCTCCGACCCTCAAACAGCTGCAGGGGTGTCACGGGCTGCAGAGGGGCATCTGGGTCATCCTTGGCTGGAAGCTCATCGTACTCATAGTCCTCATAGTCCTCGTTTGCTTCCACTGCACAGGGAAGCATTGTGAGGAGGGCTGGGATGGCCACCCGGCTCCCTGCGCCAGCCCCTGCCTGGCCCCAAGGCCTCCCAACCCCCACACTCACTCGTGTACTCGACGTGGCCTTTGACTGTCACTTCTATCTGTAGGTCCTGGCAGGTCGTGTTCTTCATGTCCAGGACATTGTAGGTACGAAGGACCTGGCTCAGCAAGGGGCAGGGAGAGGACGTGGGACATGTGAGGCCACAGACCTCTCTGGTGCCATACCTAAGGGCATCTCCCTGGGCTACAGGATTTGAGGCCTTCAGCCCCTTTTCCTCCCCGTCACTGCACAGTCCACACACACGAGTGGCACCACATTCGCCACAGGCGTCAGGCGAGACAGAGAGGTAAAGAAGCAGGGGCCTGCCCCCAGAGGCCAACACTCCAGACTGTGCTGGGAAGAGGCTGGACTGAAAAGCTCAGGAAAGGCTTCTGGCCAAGGCTTGAAGGAGAAGAAAGAGCTTGTCCTGTGGGCCAAGAAGCAGGGAAGGACAGGAAAGGCAAGGGGATCTGTGTAGACAAGGAGAGCTGTCTGGCCGGAGGGGTGGGCAGAGGCCCAGCCATCTGAGCCGTGGGCAGCGGGGAGTGACTTTTCCCCAAGGCTGATCTGGCTGGGGCTTTTGGAAGGTCAGTGTCACTGCCGTGTGGACAGTGGATCAGACAGGGGAGACAGGAGGTAGAGAGAAGTTCCAGGTAGGGAGAAGGCCGTCTCAGCACAGAATCTAGGATGCAGCACCAAGGGCCACAGGCAGCAGGGGAGCAGAGGAGGAGTCACTAGGGACATAAGGACAGGCTTGGGAGAGGGGCCACTAACACGGCCTCTAGAGTAGTGGCTGGGCTCCTGGCTGGGAGGGGCTCCCACCAGCCAGACAAGAGACACAGAATGAAGAAGGGCTTTGGGACATGCCTCGTCTGAGGTGCTGTGGGAGTGGGACGAGTGGGGCCCATGGTTCAGGGAAGAGGCCTGGGCTGAGGAGTGGGATTCGGAGCCACCAGCACTGAGGCGGGTAAAGGAAACAACAGGTACCCAGAGATGGGGAGAGCAAGCGAAAGCAAGCAGGGGGAAAAACACCCAGGACGGAAGCACGGGACACCAACCCTGAGGTGTCTGCCTCCTTCCCCGGACCATGTGCCTCTGCCCACAGGCCTCTCACTCCACACCCTCTCCTCCACCAGTGCCTGGCCCCACCCCTTCCCTGGCCCTCACCTTCAGGGTTCCTTTGCTGTTTCCTCCCACCTTCACATTGATCTTGCTGCCCAAGGAAAACTTCAGCAACAGAAAAGGGAAGGCGATGTTAGAAGGGCACAAGCAAACCTGTTTTTGCGGCTCCAATAACTTATCTCCTTCCTCAAAACAGCCCCACCTCCTCTCCCCACCTCACATTTCCACAAAGTTTATACCAGCACATGAATTATCTCACTTCAGCCTTCTAACGACCCTGTAGGGTGAACTCTGTGTATGTTACTCTACAAGTGAGAAAACTGAAGCTCAGAGCTCCAGGTCACGCAGCCAGGAAGTCAGTCTTCCCCCGAAGACCCCAGGAAGAAGTGCTGCGGGGATTCCACGGGTGGGAGGGTGGGGACGGCTTCTGGCCTGGCCACGAGGCCCAGGTGTCCTGGCTACCCAGGCGAGGGAGTGGTTCACCAGGGAGTGGTTCACCTGCAGCTCCTCCTCCAGGCCGCGAATCTGGCGGTTGTTCAGCTGCAGCGCGTGGGACTTGAACCCATTCCGGCCTGTGGAGCTGAGAGTCACATTGAGACCCCTCTCCTCAGTGGTGTGGGAGGCAATCCAGTAGGCAGACAGGGCATCCAGGGCAATCACCGTGTCCTAGGGAGGTTGAGCCAGGACTCAAGCAAGCCCTTGGTCTGAGGACTACCCACCCCCCCCAGAGCCCGGGGACGGCCCCTACTTGGGTACTGCGGAATCCCCCTTGGAAGCTGCCCTGACGGGTGAGCCAGGCCGCAGCCTGGTCTGCCATCTCTGCTTTGCCCTCGTGAAGCAGGAGGTGCAGCAGGGCGTAGGCTGTGGTTTCAATCCACAGGGCTGGGGCCTGGGGCATGGGGTCGGATGGGTTGCGAGGAGCCGGGGTGGGCGACACGGCATTGCTCTGAGAACCAGTGACTGAGCCCCAGTACAGGTTATCTGAAAGTGAAGGGAGACCACAAGTAAACAGGAAGGCAGGGAGAAGAGCCTGGTCCCCTGGCCCTTAGCCACCCCCTGCTGGGCTCTCCTGAGTCTCCCCCAACCCACCCCTGCTTATAACTTCATTCCTCCTCTGAGTCTTCATCCAGCCTCTCCCTCTGGGCACACTCAGGGATCCTAAGGTCCCCTGGGCCTCAGGCTCACTGCCAGGAGCGCCTCACCCCTCACCTCCAGTCTCCTGGGCCATTGCCATGAGGTTGTTGTGGGCAACACCGAGCAGGTCCACAGGCGCCTTGGTCAGTGTCAGGGCATAGGCCGTGATGGCAGCTGCGTGGGCACCCAGGAGCCCAGCACTTGCTTTCTCCCCCAAAAATGAGCTTGCCTTTGAGATGGAGGCTTCCTGGAAGAAAACGGGAGGAGGGTCTTGGGCCTGGACCCCTGGGTTCCTGAGGAAAAAGGGAGAGAGCTGGGGGCCAGCAGAGGGCAGAAACGCCACTGAACTTACCACTCTCTGCTTCAATGGCTCTGCACCCTCATCCTGGAAGACGGCCAGCCCATGATGAAGGGCGATGGTCACAAAGGCTGTGAGTGCCACAGTCTCATCATTGCCCACCAAACCCCCCTAGTAAGGGGAGAAAAGATGTCAAACAGGAGGGGGAAGGGGCAAAGAGAGTCCTCCGACAGGCGCTTCTCGGGCCAGCCCCAGCATGCCCGCACCTGCATGCTCCTGTCTAACACTGGACAGGGGTCCTGGAACGAGCCGTCAGCCTGCTGCTGGGACAGAAGCCAGTTAGATGTCTCCTGCAGTTTCTCAGGCGAGCCTCCTACCTGCTCCTGGGCCAAACTCAGGACCTTCAACACAAAGGCTGTGAGCCTGGAGGGCAGGAAAGGAGGGTTGGGGATAAGGACTTGCTTCTCATTATGCCCACGCCCCCAGGTGCCTGGTTATCCACCCTCCCATCATACCAGCTCTGTCCCACCCCTGCCCCAGCCCTGACCCCCTCAGAACCCTGGAACCACTCTCCCAAGCTCACCAGGTGCTGCTGTCCCGTGACAACCAAGCCGCATAGGAACCATCCGCCTTCCGAAACTGCTGGATCCGCATGTAGCCTTGGAGAGGAGAGGTGGCCGCTCAGGTGACACTCACCCTTCTGCTGTTTGAGCCCAAGGCCATGCTCCCCATCCTCATCAGGGGCCCCCTTTCTTTCCCTCTGTAGCCTCCTGGGCTGTCCATCTTCCAGTAACTGTCCTTTCCTGGCCCCCCTCCTGCTTGCCCTTGCACCCAGAACCTTTCTGGATCAGATCCACGGCGTGGTCCTTGGTCTCGGGAGGCAGTGTGCTCCACTGCTCTGTCTTGTCCAGGTAGCGGGAAGCAGCCAGTGTCGGAGCCAAGTAGATCATGGTTTGCTCCCCACAGCCTCGAGGAAGCCTCAAGAGGGAGGCCACGCCTCCTGGTGACAAGGCCCCCTCAGAGCCTAAAGTGTCCAATGGATCTGAGGCTACATGGGAGGGAGAGGGTGGAGGTCTGAGGACTCTGTGTCAGAGGCTCACGGGGAGTGGGACCAAGCAGGGATCCACAGGTCCCACATGAATCCGAAGGTGGCCACTGGGAAGGGACTAAAGGGCACTCCCACCTGTAACCCTGACGTAGCTGTTAAAGTCCCCATCAGGGATCATATTGGGATCAGAGTTGCCAGGTATTTCCAAGGTCCGGCCTCGGTGGTCTGGGGAAATGGGGGAAGTTGGCAGCCTGTCCTGCTGTCCACATCCCCCACCACCTGTACCCACTTAGGAAACCAATGGCTGGAGGTAGAGGGTCACTCACCCAAGGGGTTGAGTTCATAGACCAGCTCCTCTCTATGGATGGCCCCTTCCTTCTGTCTCAGGGAAAACATGGTTGTGAGGTCACACAGGACTACAGCCTGCCCTGCTAGCGCAGACTCCCCCAGAACTTTGAGTTTCAACTCCAGGGACAGAGTTGGATCAGAATTGTAGAAGATGGGAACAGACCAAGGCATTGGTTCGGGTGTTGGGCCCCTGGCCTGGCCAGCAGAGAGAGTGCTGAGGGTGGAGGACAAAGCTGGGGGCCCGGGGACTTATATTCAGGGGTGCTCCATTCACCTCAATCTGCAGAACCTTGGACACCGCATCTCCCACAGGGAATTCGAAGGACCCTCGAGCCACCACCTTCAGAGACACAGCGGCGGCTGCCGTGGGCACCACAGAGAAGGCAACAGGCCGGGCAGAGCCCGCAGGCACCAGCACCTGCTGGGCCAGCCCTCCGCCCCCAGCCAGGCACAGCCCCTCCACTGGGGACACGTGGACGCTCACCTGAGGGCAGGAAAACGAGGATGGCCAGAGTCCTGGCCCGGTTAGCCTCCCCACCCCTCACTGGGCCCTGGCTCCCCCAACTCCTGTATGCTCAGGCTCCCATGGGGCCTCACAGTCAGGTTTTTATCCAGGTAGTTATAGAGGACAGGCCGCAGCTCCAGCTGCTCAAAGCGGCGGACAGACATGGGCAGGCGGAGGTGCAGGTGGAACTCGCGGAACACCCGGAGCTGGACTGGGGTGGCCACACATAGGCCTGAGGGAAAGGAAGCGTGGGCACAGGGGCAGAGATCAGAGGGGCCATCAAAGCTTCAGGGCCACAGGAGGGAGGGGTGGGGGTGACCCAGCTCTGTCTCAGTCCGCCTCTGCCCTCTGGCCCACGCCAGCTGCACGCTGGCACAGACCTCCCCAGATCACTGGACCCTCTTCCTACACTAAGAGCAAAGGGAACAGGGAGCTGGGGTACAGGGAAATGGAAGCAGGGTCACCTGAGGCCCAGACAGGGTGACATCACCTTTGGTTTTGGACAGGCTCAGGCCATGGATCTCCCACGTGGTCAGAGAGTCGGGGAGCCACAGTGTCAATCTGTGTAGGGAAAGGCAGAGAAGGCCCGTCTACCCCGGCTGGCCCCGAGACACAGCACAGAGAAAAGGCCGGGCCGGCACACACTCTCACATTTGAAAGCGGTCCACTGTTTCCACTCTCCAGAGCCAGTTCTCTGGGAAGAAGCTGCGCACGGGAATGTCATCCTCATCAATCAGGTCCTCCTCCTGCAGGATCTCCAGGGCTGGGGGACCACGGTGGACGGGAGTGAGGAGGGGACCGTTCTGCCTTTCCAAGCGCCGCCACCTGTGCCCTAGCCCCACCCAGCCCCTCACCTCGTTGGAGGCCCGCCTGGCCCTTGTCCCTGCTCTTCTTGCGCAGACTCTCAGCAAATTGGCAGCAGGACAGGAAGGGCTCCCGGCAGTCCGGCTGCTGCACGCGGGCTGCCCGCTGCTCGCAGGAACGCATCATGGGCAGACGTGTCACCCCATCCTGGCAGCAGCGCTTGGCTGTCGGGGAAGCATACTGACCCACTGCAGGGCCAGGTGGGGGTGAGCATGAGAGGACAAAAAGGACATACACCTCAGCCCCCGCCCCGACCCCTTGAGACCAGCAACATAAGAGAGGCTGCTGGAGAGAGCTGCCCACCTTCCACTCGTAATCCCGGAATTCGGATCTCTGGCCCCAAATACCACACGTGGGTTCAGCAAGGAGCCGAGGGGCAGAGAGGCAGACCCCCAACCCGGATCCCAGGTGGAGAGCCCAAGCTACTGCCTAGGCACCCGCAACTCACATTTCTCATTAATCGCCTTTTGGAAGTTCACGTTTCTCTTTTTCCGGGTTGTCTTCTCCTTGGGACAGCTTAGTCCTGGTAGAGAGAAAGGCTGCAGTCCAGCCGTCAGGCACTCGGCCTCCTCCCCTCCTCCCCTTCCCCTGCCCAGCCCTTCCTGCCCGGACTCTTCCAGCTGGTCCCCTCAGGCCCTTCCTCCTTCCTTATCTTCCCGCCACCCACTCCCCTTCCTTCTCTGTTCTCACTCTTTCTGGATAAGGTCCACTGGTCTCCATCAGAAAAGGCCAGGCCCGCTGCCTGGAACACCTGAAGGGCACTGTCCCCACCCCCAGGACCACAGCCGAGGTCATAGCTGTTCATAGCTTCAAAGACCTGCAAGAAAGGCAGGAATGCTAGGAGCCAAGTGTGGCTGAGGGGCAGGACTGAGCACTCGGCACAGGTGAGAGGGCAGCACATGGGGGGATAGGAAAGGATACAGAGCCAGGAGATGGAGACCACAGGGCCAAGTGGGGAAGAGACTGTGGGGAGCCTCAGTGGGATCCAGGGGCTGCGCCCAAGGCTCAGGGAAGCAGGGGGATGAGCCATGGAGGGGTGAGAGAGCTGTGGAGAGGGTCTGGACAAACCTTGCCCATGTTGAGGGGCTTGTGGGACTTGCTGCCTGCAGCATACAGAGCTGTGTCCAAGGCTCCCAGCGCCACCAGGGCTAGGGAGTCGGTTTCTAAGTGGAGCTTCACGGACTCCCCGTTCCGGTACTGCTTGGCACCGTCCACGCTGAGCTCCAGCTGGCAGGGGCGGCAGGTGGGGGCGGTCAGAGTGGGAGAGCTTCCTTCAGTCCCGGTATCCTCACTGCCCCCAAGCTAAATCCATGCCCTGTTGGCAATCACCCTGTCCTCAACCCCCTCGGCACAAGTGCCATCTCTCCTGACCCCGGTCACCTTGCCCTCGCAGGCCCCAGCCTGGACATCCACTCGCAGGGAGTTGGCCACTGGGTGGTCTCCATGGTAGTAGAAGGCCACAAAGTAGAAGGAGGGTGCCAGGTGATGGTCCACAAACACCGAGACCGAGGTCAGGGTCCTCTTGGGCTCTCGATTCATGAACACGATCTGCCCTCGGGATAGGATCTGGGCCAAGAATGGGAGGGACAAGAGTGGTTGCCTCTTCATGGGACAGCCTCAGCCTTGAACCCCCCCAGCCCCACCCAGAGGGCTCTTCCCTGCACCCCAGCCCTCCGTGACTCCCCAGCTCATGCACACCATGTAGTAGTAATGAGAAAAGGTGGCCCCACTGCCCACGGCTCGCAAGTTCAGGTTCAGAGTGTCCCCAACACGAGGAGGTCGAGAATCCGGCCGCTCAATAGACAGAAACCCGGGGCCTCCTGAAGGTGGGGCTGCCACAGTGAGCCTGGCTATCGCTGGATGTGGGGAGCCTGCAGATACCTGGAGAGGGGGTCAGGTGCGAATAGGGTAGTAGCTCAGAGCCAAGTACCCCACCTTCCCCCCAAGTCAGGCCATGGATCCTTGGGACCCCAGCTCACCCTCCTCCCCTTCCCCCACCATCTCCCAGGGGTCCGAGGAGTCCTACTGAGAGCTGCAGCTCTGAGATGGTCTGAGGGATAATTATTGGAATGCTGACTTGGCCGCTCCCGTCTGTGTTTTGCTGAATGTCCTGGACTTCAGGAACAGACCCAGGAGAAGACACCGTGGCAGAAACTTTGACAGGAATGCCAGAAGCTGGGGAGCCTGACATCTCACGGACCAAGGCCTAGGCAGGTAAAGGAGGGCAGGCAAAAGAGAGTGGTCAGACCCTGAGCCCTCCTAACTACCACATCCTCCCTACTCATCCTTCCCCTCTGGAAGAAACCTGCAGCAGGAAGGGGGCCCCAGGCACAAGGTGTCGCTTGGTCTTGCTAAGATCCAAGGAGAAGGGAGATGACACAAAATACCAGGATGTGAGCTCTGCCTCCTCCATCTCCCCACCTGCAAGACAAAGGACAGAGAGAGGTGGGGGACAGAGCCCAAGAAGAGAGGGACAGGAGGACAAGTGGGGAGTGGCTTGAGTGGTTCCCTCCCACAAGACAGTGAGCTCCCAGGGCACAGGCTGCCGTATTCCTGTCTGTGTTGGGAAAAGGACTTGTGGGGTGCCTGTATAAACTGGCCATAAAAATATGGGACAATAAGTTGTGGAAAGCCACAAGAGGCCTCTGAGGAGAAAAGCCTCCTAATTGCCATGCTCAGAGCGAGACCTGCTCTCTCTTATCTGTAAACACTGTATTCAAGGAGAAAGACCCTCCTTTGAAGCATTGGAATGTGGACAGACGTGCAGGCTCCTAGTTAAGCCCACTCCCACTAGCTACTCTCCGATAAGTTAAAGATATGCTGTTTGAGCACAAAGGAGATTCATTTAAAGCGCTTCTGCTGTAGATTATGCCTGTGACGCACTGCTACCCTTTCACTGTTTTGCCCTGAACATCTGCTTCTTAGATCTAAGTTATTGTACTCAATAAATAGTGTGGAGACCAGAGCTCTGAGCCTTTTGCAGCCTCCATTTTGCAATTGGCCCCCTGGCCTCCACTCTTTATGAACTCTTAACCTGTCTCTTCTCATTCCTTTGTCACCACCAGACTTCAGGTACCCTACAGGTGGTGTTGAGGCTGGTCCCCAACATTCTGGCGCCCAACGTGGGGCCCAAAAGAATCTGGTGAGGAAACGCTCAAGCATGTGAAACAGAGGACCAACGAACAAAGGACTCCCAAGGACATAAAAGTTTTAACCTCTACAGGTAAGCGGGGCGCCCAGAGAAAGCTAGGGACACAATGGGAAAAACTGAAAGTAAGTACACCACGTATTTGAGCTTCCTACGGCAGCTCTTCAAGCATGCATGGTGGGGTAAAAGTTGATACGGAAAATCTTATGGATTTGTTTCATGCTATGGAACAATTTTGCCCTTGGTTCCCAAAACAGGAAACTTTGAAATTAAAACATTAAGAAGGAGTTGGAAAGGACCTTAAAAGAGCATATAGAGAAGGAAAGGAAATTCCTTTGCCTGTTTGGTCGCTTTGGTCATTGGTGCATGCAGCACTGGAGCCTTTTCAGACAGATAATGAGGCTGAGTCAGAGGAGGAGAGAGAGGAGTTTGATAATCAGAACTCTGAACCACCTCTACCGAGTACTAACAAAAAGGAGAGTCTGAAGATGATTTATGCCAATCTCCCCAGTCTCCCTAAACCTACTCAAAAAATTGTTCAGCCCACGGTTCCTGTAGAGAAATGTCCAGAATGGCCACCTCCTCCTCAGCCGAGTGGGTGCAGGGGGAGGGAGCCCGAGACTTGGCTCACCGTGCCCATTATTGCCCGACCCACAGTTCATTATGGAGATGGGGCAATTCAGGTTCACCCTACAGTTATTACAGTGAAGGAGCAATTTCCCTTAAAATGGATGACCCGGCGCCCCGTCTGGGTTGAACAGTGGCCGCTCCCTAAGGAAAAGTTGGGGGTGCTTTATAAAATAAACTACTAAAAAAAGGATATATTTCACCCACTTTCTCTCCTTGGAATTCCCCAGTATTTGTAATTAAGAAAAAGTCCGGTAGATGGCGTCAACGCTGTAATTCAACCGATGGGAGCCTTACAACCTGGGCTCCCATCCCCCACTGTGCTCCCTAAAGACTGACCGCTTGTTATTATAGATTTAAAAGACTGCTTTTTTACAATTCCTTTAGCAGAGGCAGATTTCAAAAAATTTGCCTTTACCATTCCTGCCGTTAATAACAAAAAACCTGCAGCCAAATATCATTGGAAAGTTTTGCCCCAGGGTATGTTAAATAGTCCCACAGTTTGTCAAACTTTTGTAGGCAGAACTATCCAGCCTGTTAGAGATCAGTTTCCAGATTTGTGCAGCAAAAAGTAGAGACCAACTTATTCAATATTATTAATCTTTGCAAAAGACAATTACAAATGCTGAATTACTTATAGCACCTGACAAAATTCAAACAACCACTCCTTTTCAGTATTTGAAAATACAAGTACAGGATAGAGCCATTAAGCCTCAAAAGGTTCAAATTAGAAGAGATTCTTTCAAAACCTTAAATAATTTTCAAAAATTGTTAGAAGATATTAATTGGATTTGGCCCAATTTAGCAATTCCTACTTATGCTATGTCTAATCTCTTCTCAATATTGAGGGGAAATACCAACTTACGCAGTAACAGAGAACTAACACCCGAGGCCATGAAAGAGTTATCAGTAATTGAAAACAAAATTCAGCAAGCCCAGGTCAGTAGGATTGACTCAGACTTGCCTTTATAATTCATTGTGTTCCCTACTTCACACTAACCACACAATAATGGGGGTTATTGTTCAAAATGATGATTTAGTTAAATGGTCCTTTTTGCCACATAATACCATAAAAGCACTTACAGTATACTTAAATCAGATGGCAATTCTAATTGGACAGGCTCATATATGAATTATTAAACTTTGTGGCACTGAGCCCAATAAAAATTATAGTTCCAATAAATAAAAATCAGGTTAAACAGGCATTTATTAACTCAGTTACATGACAGATTAATTTAACAAAATTTGTTGGATGTATTAATAATCATTATCCTAAAAACTTTTCAATTCTTAAAATTAACTACATAGGTTCTTCCAAAAATTACTTGTGATGCCCCTTTGGAAGGAGCCATAGCTGTTTTTACTGGTGGGTCTGGTAAACATGAAAAAGCAACAGTCTGGTGGAGACCACATAATCCAATCACTTGATCTGAATTTACTAACATTCAGAGAGCTAAGGTTATTCTGTGTATTTATTTAAAAACTATTACAGCCTTAAGTTTGCTCTGGAGCCCACTCTGTGTGGTCTTTTTCTTCAACTTCAACAATTACTAGACCAAGGTACACATCCTACTTTTATTACACACATTCGAGCCCACAGCTCTCTGCCTGGCCCATTGGCTTACGGCAATAATCAAGCAGACCTTCAGGTTATGACATCACTGCTTGACCAAGCCACCCAATCACATCGATTATTCCACCAAAATTGGAGAAACTTATCTAAATAATTTCAACTTACACAGAGGCTGGCTAAACAAATTATCCCACAATGCCCAGATTACCAGCTCACAGGCACATACCCTCCTTCAATAGGTGTTAACCGTAAAGAATTGGAACCTAGTCAGTTCTGGCAAACAGATGTTAAACACATCCCTAAATTTTAAAAACTAAAATATGTACATACATCCATTGTTACCAACACTCATCTAATTATTACACATTTAAAAAAATAAAAGTAAAAAAAAGACTAAGACAAAAATCAAAAAAATACAAAAAAGTAAAAAAATTTAAAAAGTTATAAAAATGTACCTTTAGTAAAAAAATTATAAAACATAAAAAGTTAAGACATGTTAAAAATTGTCTGTAAAAGTCATAAAAAAAGTTATAAAAAATTTATACAAAAAAGGTTGTTTAATTTTGTTTTAAAGATCTAAACAAGTTTTAAAATGATAATTGTAAAAAATTCCGTGTGTAAACGTATTTACTAAAGTTAAAAAGATATCATCCAGTTTTCTATAAACTAAACATTAAAATAAAACACAAGTTTTTCTTAAAACACTAACCTGCTCTTTAAAAATTGTAAAAAGTCTCTTAACACAGACGCCACTCCTAAAATTTCCAGTACCAGCCTAAAGACTACATCCTCATCAAAGGATAAAAAATTAAAAAATAAAAAAACATTTGAACCAGCCTAAAAAAGACCCTACAGGAACTACAGCCTCAACAATGCGACTTCCACAAACAACACAGGCCTCAGACATTATACTAAAAAAACAAAAGTCTAAGCCAAATAATTTATTCATTTTTAATTCTCTCACTTTGCCTACTACCTATACCTGCTACACTGTATTAAGCTCGTATCTTAAATCCGCCTTTCTTCTGCCCTGTTACTTTAACAAACACCCCCTTCTCAGCTTCTAATAACATAACTGCTTAGCTAGAATAAATTAACATACCCCCAGTGGGGTTCCTCATTAATAACATATAGTAAACTAAGATGCCAAGTAACACTACAGGTCACTCTTTTACTAAAAAAAAAAGTTACTAATTATACTCATGTTTGTCTTCTGTTATTTACTAATCCTAGAATACAAAGCCAAAATAAAAACAGTGACCTCCTCGCCTAACAAACCTGTGGCTACAACAGCCCAAAATTATACCTATTGGGCATGTGTCCCATTCCTGCCTTTAATTAGGCCTGTCACATGGTTAAAACCCCCAGTTGAAGTTTATGTTAATAATAGCGTTTGGATCCCTAAGCCTACAAATACTCATGGGCCCTCTCACCCAAAGGAAAAAAAAAAAAGTTAATAAATGTGTCCATAGGTTATCAGTTCCCCCCTCTTTACATAAGGCCAACTATCGGTTGCCTAAAAGGCTACCGACAACATTGACTAGTTAAAATTCCAGGTCATAATCAAAGACCAGTATCCTATCATTTATTTTCTGGATGGAGCCCGGATCATTCACAGAGTTCAATTCAATTAACAGTTTAAGCCCCCAAAAAAGAGGTGCCAACAACCTTAACAATGGTCAAATAATTTAAAAATATTAATTAAAAAAAATTACATCTCTGATCACACTATGGTACTACAAAATAATTCCTATGAAATTGTCATTAATTGGTCCCCTGAGGGGACCTTTACAGTTAATTGTACCCATCAAAATAATAAATACAAGACAAAACTAAAACAGAAACTATACTATCAAAAAGGTAACACTACTTACACTGAAAAACGTGCTCATTTTCCCATAATTTGGACCAATTTTAGTACAGCTGGCCCACATCCCAAAATAATTAATCCAATAATAGGCCCTAAACACTCCAAATTATGAAAGTTAATAATGGCCCAATCTCATATTTAAGTTTAGAAAAAAATATATTATCTTTAAAAAAAAAAGGTTAAAAACTTCAATTTGCGTATCAGTTTTCTTCCAACAAAACAGTGCCCATTCAGAGTTGTGTCAACCCTCCTTTTATGTTAATGGTCAAAAATATTGACATTCGACCTAATTCTCAAACTATTACTTGTCAAAACTGTCACCTTTTCACCTGTATTAATTCCACGTTCGGTGTAAAAACATCTGTGTTACTGATAAAAACTAAGAAAGGAGTTTGGATACTGGTTTCCCTCAATAGACCTTAGAAAGCCTCTCCTTCCATTCATATTGTCACAAAAATGTTTTAAAAAAAAGTGTTTACCAAAACAAAGAGATTTATTTTTACCCTTATAACAGTCTTATGGGCCTTATTGCAGTCACAGCTACTGCTGCGGCTGCTGGAATTGCTTTACACTCCTCTGTTCAAACTACAAAATATATAAATAGTTAACAAAAAATTCCTCAAAATTGTGGAATTCTCAGACCCAAATAGACCAACAATTGACAAATCAAACAAATGATCTTAGACAGACTGTTATTTAAATGGAAGATCGTACAATAAACTTAAAACATCAATTAGAAGTACAATGTAATTGAAATACTTCCAATTTCTACATAACTCCCCATTCGTATAATACTACTAAACATCATTTTTAAAAAGTTAGACATCATCTAAAAGAAAAAAATAAAAATTTAACATTAAATATAACCAAATTTTAAAAAAACAGGTTTTTAAAGCATCTCAGGCTCATTTAACCCTCCTGCCTGAGACTGACATTCTCATTGGAGCTACTGACGGACTTTCAAACATAAATCCTCTTAAACAGATTAAGACCATTAAAGGATCAACTATTACAAATTTTACTTTAATGTGTATCTGTTTATGCTGTTTACTTTTAGTCTACAGATGCAAAAGACACTTCTGAAAACAGACCAAACACCACAAATAAGCCATAATAGCAATAGCGGTTAAAAAAAAAAAAAAGGGAGGGGGGCATGTTGGGAAAAGGACTTGTGGGGTGCCTGTATAAACTGTCCATAAAAATATGAGACAATAAGTTGTGGAAAGCCACAAGAGGCCTCTGAGAAGAAAAGCCTCCTAATTGCCATCATGTTCCCATGCTCAGAGTGAGACCCCCTGTCTTATCTGTAAACACTCTGTTCAAGGAGAAAGACCCTCCTTTGAAGCATTGGACAGACATGCAGTCTTCTAGCTAAGCCCACTTCCACCAGCTACTCTCCGATAATTTAAAGACATGCTGTTTGAGCACAAAGGAGATTCATTTAAAACTCTATTGCTATAGATTACGCCTATGACCCACTGCCTCCCTTTCACTGTTTCTCCCTGAACATCTGCTTCTTAGATCTGAGTGACTGTACTCAAAAAATAGTGTGGAGACCAGAGCTCTGAGCCTTTTGCAGCCTCCATTTTGCAATTGGCCCCCTGGCCCCCACTCTTTATGAACTCTTAACCTGTCTCTTCTCATTCCTGTGTCACCAATGGACTTCAGGAACCCTACGGGTGGCGTTGAGGCTGGTCCCCAACATGTCTGTGCATGCTGAGGCCTAGCACGGGGCATTGAACAACACATGTCCACTGGAGGAGTGAAGGAATGAGCAGAACGAGCAAAGAAATAAATAAACTCAGCCAGGGAAAAGGGCCGAGTCACAGAGACAGAGTTGGAGAGAAACCAGGTCTCCTGGGTGTTTCCTGGTTTTGAGTCTGAGATGAGATGTGAGAAGTGGGGTGGTGTTGGTGCCGGAGGACAGAGGGTTAGCTCAGAGGTCAGAGGCAAGGGTCTGGGGTTACAATAAGGGAAAGTCACCCACCTGGAGACTCAATGATGGCTGCAGCAACGTAGAGGCGCAGCCCCTGGAGGTCAGTAATGCCCATATTCAGCTTCTCCAGGGCGTCCTGGAACTCTGCCTTTGAGAGGGAAATGTGGCTCTGTCCATTCACCAGCTGGGGCATAGAAAGAAACAGGACATAGGGTGAGACTGAGTCTCCCACCTCACCTCCCTTGCCCCTTCCCCTCCCCAGCCCCTATTCTCCTTCCTACCTTGGTCTGACTCTCCAGCCCCCGAAAGAAAGTCTTCTTACCATCCTCATCTAGGAGCCCAAAGCGCACATATGCCACCCCCTGCACTGGCTTCCCATAGATGTACCTGTCGTGGCAGAGAGAAGAGGGTGGGCCAAGGGCTGGGGGGAATAATGGCCCGAGGGCAGGGAAGCAGGAGCCCATTCATACTGAGTAGGGAGCAGGACCCGGTGCTGGTGGGCAGAGGTGGGGAGGGAGGTATTACCTGGCCTGGATGTCTAACTGCATTTCATCAAGATGGCCTGGCACCGTCAGGATGTAGGGCTTTCCAGGGGTGATCTTCACCTCAAAGTTGGGAAGGACTGACCCAGGGTGAAGGGATAGGCAGGTCAGACTCCAGCTCAAAGACTCCCCTCTGCTCAGGGCTGTGGCACCCATATCTCCCTGCCCTGAGCTGCTCCCAGTACCTCTCCTTCCACCCTTATTTCCTTCAGGAAAGCAGCTGCCTGTCCCTCCAGTTTCCAGCTCTCACCATATTTCTTCACCTCAAACTGGGTGCTGCTGTTGGATTCCAGGCCATCTGAGAATCGGGCTGAGATCTTCCAGGTCCCTGGCCTGAGAATGGACAAGGAAGGGGCTCAGCCCATCTGTACAGTGGGGCACGGAGAGCCAGCAGCCTGCTTCCCTGGGAAGAGGACTGTGGGGGTTAACCAGAGGCTCAGGAGGCTGAGGGTCAGGGCATCTGGGGACGTGCCTCTGTGTGGGAGGTGGAGAGCCTAACAGGAATTGGGGTGGTGTAGCTTGGGGGCAGCCCCCACATTGGGAGCGCTCACTCTGAGATGTCTGGGATCACAAAGTCATCCTGGAAGATGGACGAGGGCATGTACACCTCCTTCTTCCGCACGCGGAGGCCGTGAGAGTTCTGCAAGGGGAGAAGTGCTCACAGGCAGGAGGTCACATCAGTGGCCAGGATCAGGAAGGCCAGAGGTCGGGGACTCACCTCCACCATGACTGTGATGGTGTCAGTGCTCGGGCGCATCTTCTGATCCAGAGCAAAGACCCGGTACCGAACTGGGAGTGGAGGAGGAGAGAGGTGAGCAGGGGTCCATGTGCAAGGGGAGGGTGGGTCAAACTCCACAGAGGGAGCAGGGGACAAATGTTTCCTAAGCACCCCTTCTGTGTGGCACTTTCTTTCAGGTTATCTCACTTAGGGGGCACCAAACTCATCCTGAGAGGGCTCGGAGGGGGTTAAAGGTTGAGGCCCTGGGGCTGAGACTCACCCCGCTGGCCAGGGTTGTAAATGGGCTGGTCCGTCTGCAAAAAGAGGTGCCCCCGGCGAGAGGAGAAGAGCAGGTTGATACCCTGGATGTTTGTCGTTCTGGACAGAGAGTCCTTTAGCCATGGCGAATGGGCCACCAGCTGGACCTCAGGGCCTCTGAGGAGTTGATGGAGGCCACAGCTCTTCGCATCTTTCAAGGGCACCTGTCAGGAGAGGGAGAGGGAGAGGGAGCGGGTCACAGAGCAAGAGACAGCTGACCAAAAAGGACAGAGACCAAGGGAGAAACGTGGAAGGAGAATGCCAGGGTGGGAAGACAGGAGGGGAGGAGGCCAGTGGGAAGATGATGACACTTACAAGACAGATGGGAACAGGGCAGGAGGCCCCCACAAGCAGCAGGAGGGCATGGGGTCTGGTTACCTGGAGACTGAGGAGTGCGAAGTCTCTTTCTGAGCTAAGGGTGAAGTCCACCTTTGGGGAGCAGGGGACATTATTACGAGATGGGTTTCTCAGGAACACTGATCCTTTCACTACCTGTCCTCGGGGCACATCCTGGAGCTGCACCCCCACCGATAGGGGGACCCCCAGATGAACCACAGAAGGAGAGAACAAGAGCAACCTGGGGAGAACAGACAGGATCAGCAGTCAGACTTCGCTCTGACACCTCCACCCCTGCTCTCCCTCACTCCTGAATCGGGTCCCGATGCCAGCCCTGCCCCAATCCAAGCACCCAGCATCCCGCCTCCAGGACCTGGGCTTCTGCAGAGATAAGGTGAAGAAGCTGGATGCCCAGATCAGCCCCCAGAGCAGCCTCATGGCTGGAGGATCCAAGAGAGGTTAGATCCGTCTGTCTGTCTGCTACCTTCTGGCCAAGCTAGGCCTCGGGGCAGAGTTGACTCTGGACCTTGCTCCTCCCCCAGCCCAGCTAAGCTGGGAAACCACGTGACAGCCAAGAAGTGCAACTGGCCTCAGGCCCAGAGTTGTGGGGGCACCCCGGACACCTGGGTGTCCATGGGAAACTCTGAATCTTGGCCCAGAAATAACCCTGTCCTTCCCCGTTAACTCCTCTCATTCCAGTGCCTGAGCACCTCCCCCTACCAGGTATATCTGTATCAGGGTATAGGTGCACACAAGCTCATGTATACCTGGGCGTACAAGGGCCCAACATGGCCCACGAGTACAGGATATTTAAAGGCCCTCACAAAACAATGACAGGCTTCTAAGACACTTGTCTCTTACTTTCATTCCAACACAAATTGAACTATACTAGGCTTTTGCTTTTTTAGGCCCTAACAGAAATTCCGTGGTTTAGGAGATTAGGTACACCCTCACCACTCCACAGGGAGAATGGCCTGAACGTCAGAGTGAACCCCTGACCCCTTTCCTCTCTGAATGAGGCAAAGCTCAGACTTCACCTCTACCCCTAAACAAGGCACCCAAACACACGTCACAGTAAATAAAGGACATCCAGAAAATATCACAGGCAGAGGTACTTTATTTGGCAATTTTAACATGACACGTAGAGAAAAGAACCCTGCCCTCCTTCACCAGCCTCCCCAGAAATCCCACCTTCCTATTTCAAGACAGAGTAATAACAGCACCATTTTACACGAAAGGGAACAGCCACAGCCTTGGCACCATTTCTGGTTCCACTTTCCATGGAAGGGCAGAGAAGCATTGCTCAAACCCCACCACTGGGTCAGAAACCAGGCAAACAGCAGCAGTCACATCTGACCTTTTGCACACACGAGAGCCCGACACTCATCCTGGCTCCCAAGCCTTCCCAAGGTGACCCTGTCTCAGCCACCATCATGCAGCTCTTCTAGTCCCCTCCCGGCCCACTCTGAGGAGCTGAGCAATGATGAGCAGAATCTTCATGTCTCTGGCAGGCGGAGGAGGGTTCCTGAAGTGGTAGAGATGCTGTGCAGGAGAAAGACAAGGCTGGAGCCAGACGCCTAGGCTCAAGCTGTGAGGAGAACTTAGAACTTGGGAAGGGGTGCTCCCGGGTTCCAGAGAAGAATGAGAGCCACTGGCCTTCACTAGGAAACTAAGCATGAGCTGGGAGGAAATCCCACTTTGGGTCATTGCTCCATAATCTGCCAGAGGCCAGGGAAAGACTCACCAGTCCACTAGCTGGGCCCCAATGAGGTCGTGCACATGGTAGGTGAGGCCAAGCCGCACCACGACAGGCGCCCGCCGGCCCAGGAGCTCTGATAGGAGCAGTTCCCGGTACTTTGCCTTCCGGACCATGCCAAGGACAGCCTGGCGCCCTAGAGGAGAAGTGGCACAGGAAAGGGGAAAGGTGAATAAGGCCTAGAGGCCTGAGGAGCCACCAAAAGGTGAGGGGCTGCAGGCTTGAGCTGCAGATGGGATACCTTTAACAAAGTACTTGATGAATCTCCCAGCTCCAGGCACAGCTAGCCACCAGCTCCCAGCATCTCGGACGGTGAGGACTCCAGCATTCACCAGATGCCTGAGGGCAGTGGGAAGCCAGCAGAGATGAGGGCTGGGCTCTGAGAACCATCTCTCCTCCTCATCCATTAATGTTTACACAAGTCTCCAGAAACACGGGCAACCATGCAAGAGAGACTGGATAACAAAATCCCAGCCTGGGGTGGTTCTGTGCTCGCACCAACTGCCTCTGTTGGTGCAGTTGCTTGTTCCAGGCCCCCTACCTGGACTGCCCTCCCTCCACTTTTTCTTTTCCTGCTACTATTACTGGTTCAGTTAAATAGCTTCTCTTCCCTGACCACATGTCCTGACACACATTCGGTCTTAGGACCGAGGAGAGGAATCAGAGTCTTCTGCGCTCCTGCCACTGCCTAGGCAGACTGCGCCATGGCTCCCACCACATCTCTCTGAGAGTGTGTCTGCCCATGTGAGATCAGTGCTATAGTTTTTCAAATGCTTTCACATATTCCATGGGTTACAAAGTAGGAGGCCTGAGCCAGATACAGCCTCTCAAAATTAGATTTTTATTTAGCTCCTGCCCAGTTGTTTTTTAGCTTTGGGTTTTTTTTGTTTTAATGTGAATGTTTAGGGGTATCCCAGCTCCTACCATTCTCTATCCTCTTAGTCCCAGTATGATTAACATCAAGCTTTTACACTTCCTGCCAGGCCCCTGTGTGCTTTTGATAAGCCACCAAGAACTGAATTCTATTTCAGGGCTCTTTCTAAGGCCCAGGTAAGATAGGCCTCCTCTCTTGTGGGGAGGAATACAAACTTGGGTCATTTTATTAAAAAGAAGAGTCAGCTTTTTGGCAGCTTTTCTGGCAGGTTCACCAAAAAAACAGGAGGACAGGCTGGATGGAACTGGAGGGAGGCAGGGAAGCACCAGATGCCTGACTTTGGTTGGTTCCACAAGTCTCACGTGATTTCTGAGTCCCTGAAGCCAAAGGTCTGTGTCATTTGGTCCTGCTGGAAACTAAGGTCCCCACAGGCTGGAAGTACTGAAGCTAGAAATTTCTGCACTGCCCCAGCATACGGTCGGCCATCACAGGCCTTGAGGACCTACAAGCAGAGATGAGAGACATGGTCCATCCCCACCCTCACTCTCTACCAACCTCCACCCCCAGGACAGCATTTCTCTTCCTGTCTTACCTCTTGCTCAGATCCTTCCACCTCTCATACCCTTCTTCTTCCTCCTCCTCTTCATCCTCCTCCCCCTCTTCCTCCCCCCCTCCTCCTCCCCCTCCTTCCTTCCTCCTCCTCCCCCTCCTCTCCCCCCCTCTTTACCCTCTCACTCCTCCCTCTTTCCCTCCTGTCTCTCTCCCTCATATTACTATTTACCAGGGCCCTGTGCCCTCTCCATGGGATGTGGGGGCAGGGAAATTCTTTCTTTTGTTTTTATTTCTGTTTCCCAACTTCCCTGTCTCCCCCAACCTGTGCCCTCCCCCCAGCACCCCTGACGCACACAGTCACATACTCTGGTCCTGTAGTCCTCAGTGAAGATAATTCCATGGGCATCCAAGTCGAAGCCCAGCTGGACGATTCTGATCTCCCCCTGCTCTTGAAGCTCCTTCTGTCTCCACAGAGAAGAGAGTGAAAAGAGGCGTATCAGGGTAAGATGCTCTGCTATACTCTGGGCGCTCTCAGGCAGGGAGATTTTGTTTGCCAATATGGGGGCATTTTCTCTTAGTAAAGGAAAAACTGTGTGAGAAAATAATCAAGCAAATGACCAAGCAGCCTTTTCCAACTAGCTACCCACATTCTCATCCACCTGCCTTATATATGGTCTATCAAAGAGTCAATATAATTTCTAAGACCAGGCACTAAGATAAAATAGTGATTAAGATGCAGGCTGTGGCTTCAAAACATTAACAGTCTAAATTCTGGGTAGGGTAAGGTGGGGAGGAGTATGGGATTCAATGTTTAAAACAAATAAAAATAAACCAGGACTTCTGTTTACGAGAATACAGCAAGAACTAATCCACCTGTTGAAAATTAACTAAAATCCTGGATAAAAATGTTATTTTAAAATTGTTTAAGACCAGGTACAGTGGCTCATGCCTGTAATTCAGCATTTTGGGAGGCTGAGGTAGCAGGATCAATTGAGGACAGGAGTTCGAGACCAGTCTGGGCAACACAGTGAGACCCCCCCACCCGCCACATCTCTACAAAAAATGTAAAAACAGCCAGGCGTGGGGGCAGACACCTATGGTCCTAGCTACTTGGGAGACTAAGGCAAGAGGATCACTTGACCCAGGAGTTTGAGGCTGCAGTAAGATATGATTGCAACTGGGCAACACAGTGAGACCCCATCTCTTAAAAAAAATTGTTTAGACACTAAAGAGCTCACAGGATAACAGGAATTACCACTAATATAACATCTAAGTAGGCCGGGCGAGATGGCTCAAGCCTGTAATCCCGGCACTTTGGGAGGCTGACGTGGGTGGATCACCTGAGGTCAGGAGTTCAATATCAGCCTGACCAATATGGTAAAACCCCGTCTCTACTAAAACTACAAAAATTAGCCGGGCGTGGTGATGTGTGCCTGTAGTCCCAGCTACTCAGGAGGCTGACACAGGAGAACTGCTTGAACCCAGAAAGTTGCTGTGAGCCGAGATCATGCCACTGCGCTCCAGCCTGGGTGACAGAGTGAGACTCTAACTCAAAAAATAAAAATAAAAATAACTGGGGCCGGGCACGGTGGCTCATGCCTGTAATCCCAGCACTTTGGGACGCTAAGGGTGGATCACTTGAGGTCAGAAGTTCAAGTTCAAGACCAGCCTGGCCAACATGATGAAACCCGGTCTCCATTAAAAATACAAAAATAGGCCAGATGCGGTGGCTCATGCCTGTAATCCCAGCACTTTGGCAGGCTGAGACGGGTGGATCACGAGGTCCGGAGATCAAGACCATCCTGGCTAACACGGTGAAACCCCATCTCTACTAAAAATACAAAAAAAAAAACAATTAGCCAGGCATAGTGGCGGGCACCTGTAGTCCCAGCTACTCGGGAGGCTGAGGCGGGAGAATGGGTGAACCCAGGAGGCAGAGCTTGCAGTAAGCCAAGATCATGCCACTGAACTCCAGCCTGGGTGACAGAGCGAGACTCCGTCTCAAAAAAAAAAAAAAAAAAAAAATTAGCTGGGCGTGGTGTCAGGTGCCTGTAATGCCAGCTACTTGGGAGGCTGAGGCAGGAGAATCACTTGAACTCAGGAGGCAGAGGTTGCAGTGAGCCAAGATCATACCACTGCACTCCAGCTTGGTGACAGGGTAAGACACTGTCTCAAAAAAAAAAAAGTAATTGGAACATGGAGGGCATTTATTAATCTAGGCAAATCTGCCCAGAACATTTTCAAAAGTAACTGGGCGCATAAGGAAACAAAACTCAAAGAGAGAATAAAAACAAACCCCAAAAGACAAGTAATAGTGGAATTATCCTTTCCACGGTCTCCCTCTGATGCCGAGCCGAAGCTGGACTGTACTGCTGCCATCTCAGCTCACTGCAACCTCCCTGCCTGACTCTCCTGCCTCAGCCTGCCGAGTGCCTGCGATTGCAGGCGCGCGCCGCCACGCCTGACTGGTTTTCGTATTTTGTTAGTGGAGACGGGGTTTCGCTGTGTTGGCCGGGCTGGTCTCCAGCTCCTAACCGCGAGTGATCCGCCAGCCTCGGCCTCCGGAGGTGCCGCGATTGCAGACGGTGTCTGGTTCACTCAGTGCTCAATGGTGCCCAGGCTGGAGTGCAGTGGCGGGATCTCGGCTTGCTACAACCTCCACCTCCCAGCCGCCTGCCTTGGCCTCCCAAAGTGCCCAGAGTGCAGCCTCTGCCCGGCCGCCACCCCGTCTGGGAAGTGAGGGGCGTCTCTGCCTGGCCGCCCATCGTCTGGGATGTGAGGAGCCCCTCTGCCTGGCTGCCCAGTCTGGAAAGTGAGGAGTGTCTCTGCCCGGCCGCCATCCCATCTAGGAAGTGAGGAGCGTCTCTGCCCGGCCGCTCATCGTCTGAGATGTGGGGAGCGCCTTTGCCCCGCCGCCCCGTCTGGGATGTGAGGAGCGCCTCTGCCCGGCCGCGACCCCGTCTGGGAGGTGAGGAGGGTCTCTGCCCAGCCTCCCCGTCTGAGAAGGGAGGAGACCCTCCGCCCGGCAGCCGCCCCGTCTGAGAAGTGAGGAGCATCTCCGCCCGGCAGCCGCCCCCTCCAGGAGGGAGGTGGGGGGGTCAGCCACCTGCCCGGCCAGCCACCCCGTCCGGGAGGTGAGGGGCGCCCCTGCCCAGCCACCCCTACTGGGAAGTGAGGAGCCCCTCTGCCCGGCCAGCCGCCCTGTCCGGGAGGGAGGTGGGGGGGTCAGCCCCCCACGCAGCCAGCCGCCCCGTCCGGGAGGGAGGTGGGGGGTCAGCCCCCCACCCGGCCAGCCGCCCCGTCTGGGAGGGAGGTGGTGGGGTCAGCCCCCCCCGCCCGGCCAGCCGCCTCGTCCGGGAGGTGAGGGGCGCCTCTGCCCGGCCGCCCCTACTGGGAAGTGAGGAGCCCCTCTGCCCGGCCAGCCGCCCCGTCCGGGAGGGAGGTGGGGGGGTCAGCCCCCCGCCCGGCCAGCCGCCCTGTCCGGGAGGTGAGGGGCGCCTCTGCCCGGCCGCCCCTGCTGGGAAGTGAGGAGCCCCTCTGCCCGGCCACCACCCCATCTGGGAGGTGTGCCCAACAGCTCATTGAGAACGGGCCACGATGACAATGGTGGTTTTGTGGACTAGAAAGCGGGAAAAGGTGGGGAAAAGATTGAGAAATCGGATGGTTGCCGTGTCTGTGTGGAAAGAGGTAGACATGGGAGACTTTTCAAAAAAAAAAAAAAAATAGTGGAATTATCAAAAAGACAATTAAAAAAAAAAAAAACAGCACTTTGGGAGGCCGAGGCAGGCAGATCATCTGAGTCAGGAGTTTGAGACCAGCCTGGCCAACAGGGTGAAACCCCATCCCTATAAAAATACAAAATTAGGCCGGGTGCGGTGGATCATGCCTGTAATCCCAGCACTTTGGGAGGCCGAGGAGGGCAGATCACGAGGTCAGGAGATCAAGACCATTATGGCCAACATGATGAAACCCCCATCTCTACTAAAAATACCAAAATTAGCTGGGCATGGTGGCGCGTGCCTGTAGTCTCAGCTAATCAGGACAGTGAGGCAGGAGAATTGCTTGAACCCAGGAGGCAGAGGTTGCAGTGAGTTGAGATCACACCACTGCACTCCAGCCTGGGCAACAGAGCGACACTCCACCTCAAAAAAAAAAAAAAAAAAGGGAAAACTAAGGCAACAATGACCACAGCAGTCACCTCCCAGGGACATTCTGATCAGAGACATTTTGATCAGAGAGGGATATATGTGGGATACTGGTCATATTCTATAGTTTGACCTAGGGAGTGGCTAGATAGGTATCTGCTTTATAAACATCATTTAAATTATATATGTTTATATTTTCATTCTGCAACTTTTAAAGGTTTTTAAAAACAAAAGCTAACACCAATACATTAAAATCAACAAATACTCCTTAAGGAGTGGTTCCATCTGGCATGCTTCCTCACGGGAGACCTAGTCAGGGAGACTAGCTCACCTCAAGTGAGTGCTAGACTGCCTTCCTTTTCTTTCCTCTTTTCTTGAAAGATCACTATTAACCTTCTACCTGCTAAATCCAATGGACAGATTTCAGTTCTGGGTTTTTTTGTTGTTGTTTTCATTTTTTTAGAGACAGGGTCTCCCTCTGTTACCCAGCCTGGAGTGCAGTCGTGCAATCATAGCTCACTGCAGCCTCAAATTCCTGGGCTCAAGCACTCCTTCTGCCTCAACTTCCCAAACAGCTAGAACAATAGGTGCACACCACCATGCCCAGCTAAGAATTTTTGTGTTTTAATTTATTTATTTAGTAGAGATGGGATCTCAGTTATTTAGTAAAGATGGGGTCTCACTTTGTTGCCCAGGCTGGTCTCAAACTTTTGGTTTCAAGCTATACTCCTGCCTCAGTCTCCCAAAGTGGTGGGAGTACAGGCATGAGCCACCACACTCAGCCTAGATTTCAGTTTATATTTTACTTTACCTCTTCCCTCTTCTTAGACCACTGTCTTGAATCACAGGTTCTAATACTGCCAACTACTTCACTTTCTCAAAAATCTCTTTACTTTCACAGTAGGCCTCTTCCTGGGTTACTTTTTTTTTTTTTTTTTTTGAGACAAAGTCTAGCTCTATCACCCAGGGTGGGGTGCAGCGGTGCTATCTCAGCTCACTGCAACCTCCGCCTCCCCAGCTCAAGCAATCCTCCCACCTCAGCCTCCCCAGTAGCTCTATAGGCGCGTACCACCACGCCTGGCTAATTTTTGTATTTTTTGTAGAGATGGGGTTATGTCATGTTGCCCATGCTGGTATCAAACTCATGAGCTCAAGAGATCCACCCACCTCGGCCTCCCAAAGTGCTGGGATTACAGGTGTGAGCCACCGCGCCGGCCTCTGGGTTCCTCTTAACTCAGGCAAGTCCCTCTCTGCCTCTGTCACAGATTCCTCTTCTTCTGCTTTCCCTTTATGTCAGTGGATCTCAAATTTTAAGGCACACTTAAAAAGCACTTGAGGCAGTTCAAAAATGTAGAGTCCCAAATCCCGCCCCAAGAGAGCGTAATTCATTAACCTTGGATGAGTCCCAGGAACCTGTATTTTTTTTAACAAGCAGCCCACGTAATTTTGACACAGGCATAATAACTCAGCTCATATATTCAGTAACACTGCCTTAAATGATGGTGTTTCCCAGCATTGTGGATTTGACCCTATTAACTTCCACTCTAAACCTGGAGTCCTTAACCACGGACCTCGCAGGATTAGTAAAATATTTCCCCCCTAACTATACATACACCCTATGTATATGTGGCAAACGTGCATTTTTCTGGAGAGAGATAGCCATAGCTTTTATCACCTTCTAAAGATTACAAAAAGGTTAGAAATCACTCCTCTACCCACTCTTCCTACTGGATCTCACCACATCACAGAATTAACCACTTGCTATTCACACCTCCATGACTTGTAATTCTATTATCACTGGCCCAGAATTCTCTCCAACTCTCATATCCAACTGTCTAATACCTTTGTCTTTGGATGCTCCACATGCACCATCAACTCAACTTGTATAAAATTAAACACATTATCTGTAGTCCAACAACTAAATGTGCTCCTAATACCACCAGCCACGCAGTCATCTGGAAAGTCTGAGTTGTCCTGGACTCCTCCCTCTTCCTCACTCTCCTCTCCCTCCCTACTGCACTGACCTAATTTAGGCCTTCACCACTTCTCAGATGCAGTATCTTCTTAGCTGACCTCCCTGCCTCATCCACTATCTCCAATACACCATTCCCTCTCTCTATGATATTCTCTACCAGCCCATCGCCTCAGTGTAAGATGGAAACAACACTGATGTACAAGGCCTGTCATGATCTGACGTCTGACTGCACTCCCAGCGCTGTATGTTCGAACCATGCCCCATGACTCGGTTTCCCCAAAAGCCTCGTTCTTCTACCTCCATGATTTGAAATGCCCTGTACTACCTGCGGGACTTTTAACAGGGTCTCTGTGGCACCCCAGTGCCTGGCACAGTGCCCTCGCCTGAAAGGCCTAATGCTTGCTGAACGGCTGGCGGAGTGACTGAGTGACAGGGAATTCCAGGAGTTAGGAAAGGGGCTTCCGGCGGTCGCACCGACGCCCCTCACCAGCTGCCGGTCGGCCACGGTCCTGTCAGGCACAAGGCTGTACACCTGGCTCCTCAGCACGATGGGCGGCAGCGCGTCCTCAAACAGGCCTCGCGGGAACAGCTGCATGAGTTCTGAGACAGCCGCGCGCGCCGACCCTGGGCAGATAAATCGGCTCACGGACAGGGAACTGGGGCGGGGACGCGGTTCTAACAAAACTCTCGGCTACCGGAAGCGAGGCCCCACCCCCGGGGTTGCCATGGTTACCTGGCTCACCCCGAAGAGGATCCGACTCCACAGGCCCTCGCTTCCGCCGCCTCTTAACTCCAAAGGTCTCCGGGATCAGGTGATGCCTCTTCCAGCTCATATCCCGGGATTTTATGGTACCGGGGAAGGGGTAGGAATGGAGGGAAGAGAACCTGAAAATAGGGTCTTCCGGCGCAGAGCAGTGACGTACGGTCTCCCCGGGCGTCCCTCCTAGACCAGGTGATGACGAAAGGAGCGTCAACTTGTCGTCCCTCAGGCCCGTCAGTGCTGGGAGGGGCGGTGGCGACGCACATACCAGCATCACCTCCGCCAGGCCGGGCCCCACGCCGGCCGCGGATTGGCTCCCTCCAAGGGCACGCACGCCCGGGGACTCGTTGGCGGCGTGGAGGGGCGCCGGTGGCCACGTTGGTGTCAACCTCCTTCGTGAAGCTCACACCTCCCCCGCCCCGGGAGGGGTTTGCCCGCCACTGTCGCTGAATGATTGCATCATCGAAAGCAGAAAACCACTTTTGCATCCTTCGGCCTCTGGCGTGCCTGCCATGACGTCATAGCTCTGCGGAGGTGGAAGTTGGGGAGCTTTGAGGTAACTGGATTCTTGATCTGAGCGCAGACGTCCTTCCTAACCTCACTGCATTTGGAGGACCTGGAGGGAGGGTGGGTGAAGGGCAAGGAAAGAGGCAGGATGAGAGCTTGGCCGCGGTGGCGTCTGAGGGGCCTGAATGTTTCAAGGCCAGAGCCTGGCGATCAGGTGGCTCGCTTAGTCCTAAACCAGTCATCCTTCTCCAGGCCTCCTCTGTAGAATGGAAACTCTGTACCCCTGCTTGTCTTAGGACCTCATGGATCCCAGGGGGACCAAGAGAGGAGCTGAGAAGACAGAGGTAGCTGAGCCTCGGAACAAACTACCTCGTCCAGCACCTTCTCTGCCCACAGACCCTGCCCTCTACTCTGGGCCCTTTCCTTTCTACCGGCGCCCTTCGGAACTGGGCTGCTTCTCCCTGGATGCTCAACGCCAGTACCATGGAGATGCCCGAGCCCTGCGCTACTATAGCCCACCCCCCACTAACGGTCCAGGCCCCAACTTTGACCTCAGAGACGGATACCCGGATCGATACCAGCCCCGGGACGAGGAGGTCCAGGAAAGGCTGGACCACCTGCTGTGCTGGCTCCTGGAACACCGAGGCCGGTTGGAGGGGTGAGCAAAGCGTGGTAGGCAGTATATCTGGAGACCCGTACCTACCCTCTAAAATTAGGAGAGCCAAAGCCGGGGTGAGAATCAGTCCTTAGAAGAAACAAGACTATTCTTCGAGGGGAGCATCTCACTAATGCTTGTGTCAGACCTTCAGCCTGTAACTCCTGCCTCTCAGGGGTCCAGGCTGGCTGGCAGAGGCCATAGTGACGTGGCGGGGGCACCTGACAAAACTGCTGACGACACCGTATGAGCGGCAGGAGGGCTGGCAGCTGGCAGCCTCCCGGTTCCAGGGAACACTATACCTGAGTGAAGTGGAGACACCGAACGCTCGGGCCCAGAGGCTTGCTCGGCCACCGCTCCTCCGGGAGCTTATGTACATGGGATACAAATTTGAGCAGTACATGTGTGCAGGTGAGTTGCCCCTGCTTCATAGCCCCCTTCCCCTTCCCAGAGGTTGAGAGCCCCCCACGCCTGCTGCTGCTTCTCTCCTTGTGCAGACAAACCTGGAAGCTCCCCAGACCCCTCTGGGGAGGTTAACACCAACGTGGCCTTCTGCTCTGTGCTACGCAGCCGCCTGGGAAGCCACCCTCTGCTCTTCTCAGGGGAGGTAGACTGCACAGACCCCCAAGCCCCATCCACACAGCCCCCAACCTGCTATGTGGAGCTCAAGACCTCCAAGGAGATGCACAGCCCTGGCCAATGGAGGAGTTTCTACAGGTTCAGGATCGGGGTGGGCAGGGCGAGAGCTTAGGCTTGAAGGCTGGGAAAGGGACTTGGGGAGGAGGGTGAAGGCAGAATGGAGGGTGCACGAGGGGTCCCACTGATCCCTTGCTTTTCCTGTCAGACACAAGCTCCTGAAATGGTGGGCTCAGTCATTCCTCCCAGGGGTCCCGAATGTTGTTGCTGGCTTCCGTAACCCAGACGGTTTTGTCTCTTCCCTCAAGACCTTTCCTACCATGAAGATGTTTGAATATGTCAGGGTAAGGGAACGACGTTGCAGCTCCCACCCGTATCCCCAAACACCAAGACCACAGGTCTAGCATCCAGGGCAACAGCCTGCCTTCTCTCCTCCCACCACCCCCACTGCCCATCTTCTGCCTCCTCCTCTGCCTGCTCCAGAATGACCGTGACGGCTGGAATCCCTCTGTGTGCATGAACTTCTGTGCCGCCTTCCTTAGCTTTGCCCAGAGCACGGTTGTCCAGGATGACCCCAGGTGAGGCATTCAGCTCTGTACCTCCCCTCTGGATCCCAGGATCCAGCCTCTGGCCCTCAACTGATGCCTCCATCTGCCCCCCAGGCTCGTTCATCTCTTCTCTTGGGAGCCTGGCGGCCCAGTCACCGTGTCTGTACACCAAGATGCACCTTACGCCTTCCTGCCCATATGGTATGTGGAAGCTATGACTCAGGACCTCCCATCACCCCCCAAGACTCCCTCTCCCAAATAGTAATGCTTTAGAGGGAGGCAGTCATATCTCTGTGTGCAGATAATAAAAGCATATTTCTAAGAGGTTCTCTCGCTGTCTTCTTAGCTGAGTCATCCCTGTCCAGCAACTCAAGCACACAACAGTGCTTTGCTGTTTTATCATCATGTTTTTACATGGGGCATTCACTGGGTGTAGAGGCTGGCCGCAAATACGATGTCCCGCCGTAGCAAGGTAGCCGCTGTCTCCATCTTGGCACCCAGCACAGGCTCTCCTACCAGGCGGGCTGCCCCCCGCAGTGAGCGACACATCTCAGCCAGGCGCTGAATGCAGCGGACCACCAGGCCCTCAGGGGTCCCTGAGAGCCCTGCCAACTCGGAGAAGGGCTGTGGGGAAAGTAGGGTGAGGACTGGATGCACTCAGCCTGGGCAGGTTCTCCCCAGCCAGCCGTCTGCAAAATCCCAAACCTCAGGTACTCACCATGCCCCGGGCCCACTCATATACAACCTCAACCAGCCCAAAATTCAGCTCCCCCACAAATTCCTCCACCGTCTGGTTCAGGCCACAAGCCACCTGGACCTCACCAATCCGCTTGGCCACAGCCCGGACACGTTCTATTCCCTGCAGGAAAGAAGGAGAGGTTAAGGCCTGCCTTCCTGCTCCAGGACAGGGAAGGACCAGATCAAGAAGGCAGCCATTTTCCATCCTTGGGGCACTTACAGGGCTGGAGGGGGTCACCTGGGGGACTACCTGAAGGTGAAGGTCAGGAATGCCACAGCCCTGGCAGGGAGAAAGGGGTGGTGTCCCCTACCTGCTTGAGGGTGTTTGGGAGCTGATCCCCAGCGTCCCCAGGGCTCTGGCAGACCAGGCCAGAGAGCAAGGCAGCAATCTCCTCAGGCCGCAGGGTGCTCAGTGCATTGTCAAACATGAGCTCAGTGAGGAGCAACTCATGGCTGCTCATGGCACAAGCCACCCGCCCTGCCAGCTTCACAGTGCCCGCCTCGTCCACGTAACCCAGGGTTCGGAGCACCTGCAAGAAAAAGGGTGGGCATTGGACACACTGCTGTCCCCTAGCCCCCCTGCCCCAACCACTGCCCCACCCACCTCTACTCGCTGATGGTACTCAGGAAGCAGCAGCAATGACTGATCCGACAGTAGGAAGCGCAGCCGCTCCATCTCCTTCTGTATCTGCATTCGCTCCCGCAGCTTCAGGTACTGCAGAGAGCCACCCGTCAGCCTTCTCCTTGCCCCTTAGCAGGGGTGCACTGAGGACAAGGGCTGAGATGGGGGCGGTCAGTCTACAGGGGACCACAGAGGAAAAGCCCCTACTCCCAGCTTGGGAGTTACCACCCAGGGTCCTACCTGGGCAGGAAAACGGGGGCTGTGTACACACTGAGCCCCCTGGATCAGCTCCTCCAGCTTCCGGGCCCGGAGCCCACCCTCTACAACTGACATATCTTTGAGCTGCAGGTCATTGACAGGGTCGAGGGTGGGAGGTCCGGCTGGGTGGGCCTGAGCCAGACGCAGCAGTTCCTGGACAGCAGTGGTCACGGCTGCAAGGGGAGGATCCTTCCTGAAGAGGGAGCAGATCTTAAGATCTGGGGTAAGATCTTCTCTCCCCCAGAAGCCTCCCTCAGGCTGTGGAAGCCCTCTTACTACAACCTCCACTTCACAGTCTCCCTTAGGCTGGGGGAGCCCCCTCACTACAACCCCACCACTTCATGGTCTCCCTCAGGCTGGAGGAAACTCCCAGACCACTGCCCCTCCCTGCCTCTACGTGCCCCTCTGGAGGAGAAGGGCCTCCCTAGCATCTCTGACTTGAATTTTGGCTGCTGCCTCTTGCTGAAGTCCTCCAAGATCTTCTCCCCATTCACCCGGAGCACCTTGGTGGTGATGGCAGCCATATCTCCTGGCTGGAGCTTGACCACGGTGTGGTCACAAGGCCCTGTGAAAAGGGGAGAGCAGGGCAGACATTGCCATGGACCCAGGCATCCTGCTTATACTGCTGGCAGAAAACAGACATCTGCCACACTCTCACCTTCAGGCAGGAACAGCTTGAATCCCACGAGGTCATCTGGATAGGGCACCTCTGCAGTGGCTGGCCCCCTGTCCTGTGGGTCCTGGGACAAGGGCTTATCACACAAGACCAGGGTTGTGAATACTCTGCTGGTGGAGTTCGAGGAGACCTGGGGGTGGTCAGAGAGGCCAGGAGAGGGGGGTGTGATGAGTAGACATCAAAGGCAGAGACCAGATACCCACCCTTGGGCAGGAATCAGGAAGCAACCATGCAGAGCTCACCAGTAGAGAGGGGCAACCAAGTCAAGCGATCAGAGCAGACTTCTTGGGGTGGTGGGAGGAAGGAGTGAGCATGATGTGGTGATGGGAAGGGAGAGGGTGAAAAGGAGGGCAAGAGGGGAAAATGAGGGCCCTATGATGACGCAACCTGCCCTGGCCAAGTGGGGAAAATGGAGAGAGGGCTTGCTCCCTCCCACCCTCTGGAGTCCAAATTCCCATCACCCTCACCTGTAGGATCACTCCCAATGCGTTGTGATGCTCCTGATTCTTCACAACCACCACCCTTCCTGCTGAGAGAGACTTCAGCCCGTTCACAGACTCCATGATGCGTCGCTGAAGAGCAAAGGACAGATGGGAGGAGGCATCACAGGGACAGACACTTGGACTAAGTTTAGTAGCACCTAGAGTAACACGATCTTCTCTTCCCTTCTCCTATCACCTCCTCAGCACTCACACTTGCTCACCTGGATCATGTGCTGGGTCTCTGTCAGTTCCTCCCCCCAGCTGTAATATTCAGGCAGGTCGACCAGTTGGCCAGTCATGTCAGGCTCCTCCAAAGCTCCCAGCCTCTTGGTCAGTTCAGCCAGGGCCTGTTCATGGGCCTTGGGTGGGAGCAGGGGAAGCTGTGAAAGGGGAGTCTCCAGGCCCAATCTGTCACACTCCCCACCCTCAACACACTGGCCTCTGGATGCCTACCTATTCCCAGCCTGTCTTTGGCCAACCTCCTGCTCCACACACTGGTTACCCCAGGCTCCTTACCTTGCTGTCTTTGCGGGAGGGAAACTCAGAGAAGCTCCTCTTCATCATGTCCTCCACCCTGAGGGCATCCACTCGCAGCAAGTTGAGGATCATAGTGTACGTGAGGCGGAACTGGGACTGCAGCTGGGACGGCTTCCCCTGGAGTCAGGTCACAGAAGTCACTGAGATCAGGGTGGGACCTACTGAACCCCAGCCAGTCTTCTGGACTGGGCCTACTCCCGTCAGATCCGGTCCTAGCTCTGCAACCATGGGGCCTTGGACAAACCACTTGCTCACCTCTTCTGTAACATAAGGGAGCAAACTGAAATAAATGGACTCAAAGGCCCCATCTAGCTCCATATTCACATGGGAGAAAACTGGAAGAGATGGGCTCCAATCTCATCCTTGGATTCACTCACTCCTACCTCAGCTTCTCCCAGGCAAAACAAAAAAGTCGGAGGAAGTTGGGCGCTGTGGCCCACACCTATAATCCCAGTACTTTGGGAAGCTGAGGCAGACAGACTGCTTGAGCCCAGAAGTTCAAGACCAACCTGTGCAACATAGCAAAACCTCATCTCTACAAAGCATAAAAAAAAAAAAAAAATTAGCCAGGCCTGTGTGGCATGTGCCTGGAATCCCACCTACTTGGGAGGCTGAGGTGGGAGGATCCCTTGAGCCTGGAAGGCAGAGGTTGCGGTGACCCGAGATTGTGCCACTGCACTCCAGCCTAGGTAACAGAGCAAGACCCTGTCTCCAAAAAAAAAAGGAAGAAGAAAAAGAAGAGAGGAGAATCGAAGACAGAATCCAGCAAGGTCCTGGAGCTGGGGCCCTGCCGAGCATGCTGGCCCGCTCACCATCATCATGCGGTGCAGGTCTGCCATCTCGGGCACTCGGCCCTTGCAGAGCAGGATAACGGTGCCTGTGGGGTCCAGGCCCCTCCGCCCTGCCCGGCCTGCCATCTGCACATACTCCCCAGGGAGCAGGTCCCGGAAGGTGGAGCCATCGTGTTTGCGCATGGAGTCAAACACTACTGTACGAGCAGGCATGTTTACTCCCATGGCAAAGGTCTCTGTGGCAAACAAGACCTGGGACAGAGGAGAACAGAAAGGATCAGCAAAGGCTCTACGTACACACACCCCCAGCCCTGGCCAAGCCCACCTTACTTTGTAGGCATAAGGCACCATCCCAGTTGTTACTTATGGGATCTCACTGAACTCTCCAGGCAAATCTATAGGGCAGGTATTATTGTTTTCCTCATTTTACTTATGTAGCTACTTATTTCTATTTCTTAACTTTTACCTTCATATCCCATTCCCATCCCTGACTGCAATCATTCCAATGTATCCAACAAATATCTTTTTATATAAATATGATCTTATAGAACATGTCTTCTTTTGTGAGCTTGTAGTTTATAATTCATATAAAAAGTGGTTATATATCTGATTTTTTTTTGCTTCTTTTTCTCCACCTAGTGTTTCAACATCTGTCCATGTTCCTGTGGCCACATCTAACCCACTGCTTCCAACTGCTGCAGAACACTCTATGGGTGCATCCCCCACACTAACCTTCCCTCTCTCCCAGTGAAGGGCACCCTGGTACTACCAACACCATGCCACCACAAACAAAGGATGGGTGTACATGTTCTCTCACAGACCAGGGTGAGAATTTCTTTGTGATATATACCCAGGAATGAAATATAAGCTCAGAGTATGATATAGTTTTTGTTTGTTTCTTTGTTTGTTTTTGTTTTGAGATGGAGTCTCCCTCTGTTGCCCAGGCTGGAGTGCAGCGGTGCTATCTTGGCTCACTGCAATCTCTGCCTCCTGGGTTCAAGCAATTCTCCTGCCTCAGCCTCCCAAGTAGCTGGGACTACAGGCACCTGCCACCATGCCCAGCTAATTTTTGTATTTTTAGTAGAGACAGGGTTTCACCATGTTGGCCAGGATGGTCTCGATCTCTTGACCTTGTGATCCACCCACCTCAGCCTCCCAAAGTGCTGGGATTACAGGTGTGAGCCACCATGCCCGGCCAATATAGTTATTTTGTCTAAATAGTGCCAGCGTGCATTCCAAACTGGCTAGGCATCCCGTAAAGGATTCCCAGAACCCTACAACCTCCTATATCTCTGGCAACACTCGGCATGAACTAGTTTCCTAAATTTTACCAGTCTAATAGCTGTAAAGTCGTATCTTGTGAGTACTTCAATTTGTATATTTCTGATTACTAATAACTTTTCGAATGCTTGCTAGCTTCCTGGGTTTCTTTTCTGAGACCTACGTATTCATATCTTATGCATCCCCATTTTAAGATGGGAAACCTAAAGTTCAGGAAGGTTAAATAATTGGTCCAGGATGATACTGTGAATACATGGTGTACCTGGGATTCAAACCCAGGTAGTCTGAATCCAGAGCCCAGATTCTTAACCACAGCACTGGCCTGCCTAAACCTCTGCCCCTCTGCCCTCTGGGCAGCCCCTAAGTGGGCAACAAGCACCCTGAGGAGTCCCTTTCCACCACCACATGCACCTTGACCAGGCCACGGCTGAAGAGCATCTCCACGATCTCCTTGAGGATGGGCAGGATGCCGCTATGGTGCACACCCAGGCCGCGATTCAGGAGCTCTGACATGTGCAGGACCTTTGGTGGGAGGAGGCCCATGGTCAGGGATGGAGTCTCGGAACACCCTATCCCCACCAGTCTGCCAAATGTGTGCATGCACGCACACAGACGCACACAGACGCACCTGGGGCAGCTGGCGGTCAGAGCCACGGAGGCGAGCAAGGCAGCGCTGCAGGAAGAGGTGGATCTCGCTCTTCTCCGAACTGGTGGTGAGGTCAAGGGAGGTGAGGCCTGAGGCCTGCTCATCACAGCGGCCCCGGGAGAAGGTGAACACCACCACGGGCAACTGGGCACGTGTGCGGAGGGAGGCCAGGAGGGACAGGTACACTCCGCGGTCCTGGAGAAGGAAGGGGAAGGGGAAGGAGCAGAGGTTGAGTTCCTGAACCAATGAGAGGTGAGCTAGTGTTAACTGGGGCAGTGCTCAAAGCTCAAGTCAAAACCCCTGGGGGACAAGGGGAAAAAAAAGATAGGAGGAAAAACAGGTGCTGGCAGGTACAAAACCCTCCCAGTTCTCACCTGTGCAGGGCCCCCCTGATGTGTGGGCTGCTTGGCCCCAAAGGTCTGGGCGTGTTTGCTCATTCTCTCCTTCTTGGCCTCCACAGCTGCATAGTACCTGGGGCACAGGGAGGGGTAGCCACAATGTCCAGCTGGGGGCCCAGCCCTAACTCTTTCCCCCATCTCGAGGCTTACCCTTTTGTATGGAAGGCTCCTCGGGAGTCCAGCAACAAAAAGAGCTCCCCCTGGGTCTTGGAGCTGTTCCCTGTGAAAAGATAGTGCTCCAGGGGCACGGGGCGGGTTACAGTGCTAATCACATAGATCTGACGACGCTTCAGCCGCCTGAAGAAAGGAGAGGGAAGCAGGTCAGGGGTGGGAACGTGGGAAGGAACCCACATCCCCACCCCCTTCCCTACCCCTCCAACTTTACCCAGTCTTTTCTGAGACCCAGAATGGAAGGCTATCCCCCAACATCTCATCCCATTTCAACATGCAAAGTAATCTGGACCCAAAGGGGATCCCACAGCCACCAGGTGGGACATGTTCCCCAGCATCACCCCTAAGGCCTGACCGCTCTCCTTGCTGTGGTAGACTTAGTCCCCCACCCGAATCAAGGAGTACTGTAGCCCCCTTCACCCAGGCAACCCGGGACACACGTCTCACCCAATCCAGTCAGCAAACTCAAGGGCGTTGGGGACGGTGGCACTCAGAAGGATGATAGAAACGTGGTCAGGTAGCATGATAAGCACCTCCTCCCACACGACCCCACGCTGGGCACAGAGAGGGAAGGGAGGTCACATGAGGGCAGGGGCCGCCCTTCTGCCCATAAAGAGGCACAGGATTCCATATGGGGGTAAAGAAAGCAGTAAGGGGCCCTGAGTGTGTGGAATAAGGGAGACGCTCAACTGGTCCCAAAGGAGAGGACTGCCGGGTTCTGGGGAGCCCATGGCCCTTACCTCGACATCGTTGATATAGTGAACCTCATCAAAGATGACCCACTCCAGGTCCCGAATAACATCTGAGCCACTGTACAGCATGGAGCTGGGGAGAAGAGGCCAAGGATTGACTCCCCAGTGGCTCGTCTCCACCCACTCCTCAGACAGCACACTCTCCACAACGGCCACATCTTCCCAGCCAAAACTCCCCTGTATTGAGTGTCCATCTCTCACCGAAGGATCTCTGTGGTCATGATGAGGCAGGAGGCCTCCGGATGCAGCTGTACATCCCCGGTGAGCAGCCCCACATCCCCGAATGTGTTTCGGAAGTCCCGGAACTTCTGGTTGCTCAGGGCCTTGATGGGCGAAGTGTAGATGGTGCTGGGAAGAGAGCATGAAGTTAGCCAGTCCCTCCGCAGACTCATGGCCCGCACTTCCTCTCCCACATGGAGCCCTCGTGGAAGCATGCCCCAGAAGCTCAGGTGCTCCTCTTCTTCACCCAAACTGCCCTTACATTCTCCTGCATGATATAACCCCAGAAAAATTCTGTCCCCAACCCCTTCCTAAACTAACCCAGGTCATTCTTCTAAACTTTCTCCCCACCATGTCTTTTCATTTCTCTCTGGGCTCTTGTCTCAGTCTTAGCCCTGAACCTCTCACTTAAAGGATGAGCTAGAGAGGTGGGGGAAGAGATGAGATTTTCAAAGGATGCAGGAGAAAATGGGGCTGGCTGGTGAAGGGGGAGGTTGGCAAAGGAACTCATACCGTGTCATGTGTTTCTGGGCCAGGGCAATGGCATATTCAGCCACAACTGTTTTTCCTGCAGATGTGTGAGCTGCGACAAAGACAGAGTCATGCCGTTCCAAGTGCAGGATGGCCTGTTTCTGAAACACATCTGGCTCAAATGCCCACTATGGGAGAGAGAAATAGACAGGAGCTGAAGAAAGGAGCGGGGCCTTGCTGCCTCCTGCTCATGGAGCACGCAGGGCGGGCGGATGAAGGCCGGAGCCAGCCGAGGCTGGGACTGAGTACCAAGACTGGCCTGGGATGGATCTGACCTCTGGCCAATAGAGGAGACAAGGGGTCGGCTGGGAGTGTGACCCAGAAAGAGGTAGAGGAGCGTGTGAAGATGGGGCCAAAGTACCTGGAAGGCTGGCTGGGGAATGAGGCGATAGAAATCACCAACAGGGGAGGTGGCGTCCACAGGGATGGCCCACTGCTCCTGAGATGGAGGCTCTGGGGCCTCTGGGGTGGATACAGCTGTGGACGCTTCCTGGAAGAGTCAGGGGTAGCAGTGATAAAGATACAACCAGAGGGCTCTCAATTAGCACTCCTCCCAAAAGATGTCCCTTTCTTCCCCTCAGACCCATCCTAGCCAGCCCACATCCTGGTGGCAAGGCTCTTTCTTGCCTCCACTACACAGAACCACCAACCTTCAACACTAGGTCTTCCAAGCTGCTTGCTCGGGCCAGGGGAGCACTGCAGGGAGAGGCTGAAACAGTGTCCCCTCTGGGACCTCCTGGCTGTCCCACTGCCTCATTCTCATCCTCGTCACCCCCACCCAAATCCAGAGGCTCCAACAGACAGCTAAGGCTTAGTAGTCCAGGAGCTGGAGTTGGACAATCTGAGGAGCAAGCCAACAAGGTCAACCTTGTCATGTCCATCTCTGTTCCTTAGGAGAAGGACATGACTTCTCCTACACCCCACTCAAAAACTAAAACTAACCTTTTGGTGCAAAGTCCATGCCTTTCTTGAAACCAGGTGGAATAGTAAGAAGATCTGTAGGATAGGGACATGGAATCAGGTCACTGCACACTGGTGAACAAATTGTGTACATTATATAAACCTAAAAGATACCATTTACAGGACAGATGCTGTAGATAGGGATGTTTGCTATGACACTTTCCCAACAGATGACAGTAAAGGTTGTTGTAGAAATTTCCCAGCAGATGACAGTAAAGGTTGTTATGGACAGAATATCTTTTTCTAATTTTCTCAAAAACATGGGAGGGCTAGCAGTAGCCCAGTGATAGCCTGGGCTCTTCCTCCTCAAGGCTCAGACTCAGAGCCCCACCTTACCTTTCTCAAAGTCTATCTCCTCCTCAGCCTCCTCCCGTGTGTTCAGATCTGTTATGGTGGGTTCATCCATCCCCCCTGGGAAGAGACAGGACAGACAGGGATTCATGGGATGAGGGTAATACGAGATAGGTGGGGAACCCTTCCCTGGAGATTAAAGACACCCTCTTCTACCATCCCATCTCCACAAGAGTCACCTGGCCAGAAGGGATACTGAGTTGGATTTCCCCATAAGGACTGGGAGGCTGGCCCTGGAGGCCGGCGAAGAGACAAGGAGGTTGTAGCCGAGAGATTTGTGTTCTCCAGCAAGACCTAAGGCAAGAGATCAGAGCCCCAATGAGGCTGAGCTTGTCTCTGACCACCTCCCCTTCTCCCCAACTGTTTCTCATGACCCCTGACCTCCTACCTCTTTGTAACCCAGTATCTGGCCTGTGGTTGGGTGTCTTTGGGCCTGTAGGTCGGATGGGACTGGGGCTCCCAGGACAGCCAAAAGAGACCAGGGATCCGTCTTCCTCTGCCATTTTCTGGAGAGAAAAATAGTAACTTTTGGGTCTTCTTTCTTCCTCTGTCCCAGCTTCCTTCAGGAACCCATCACCCTAGTCTAAGCCCCTCCAGACTCCTCACCGGGCTGAGTGCTCCACACCATGCAGAGGCAGCCAGGCTGGGGATGACAGAAACAACTGTTCTGCTTCTTGCTGCAGATCTGGGGCACAAGGAGGGAGGCCATGGGGAAGCTGAAACAAGGGCAAGATGAGAGGCATTAGGTAAGGAAAGAGGATAAAATGCAGACAAAAGAGATGATGGGACTTGTGTTCAGATCAGAAATGGCAGATGTGTCAAACAGACTAGGACAATCAGGCTTGGCCAAAAACTACCTGCTACTGAATTACCTGGGGCAGATTTTGGATTTCAGAAACATGGAGGCTGGACCTAGGAATGTGCATTTTTAAAAAGCTCCCTGGCTAATCATGAAGCACACTGAAATTGGAGACTCACTGATTTTAGAAAAAGGGGTCCCAGACCTAAGGATGAAAGGTTGGAGGCTCAAAGCCTATCATCTCAGTCACCAAGTGCCCTGGTGCTTGGATACAGAAGGGAGCTCCACGGAGAAATGCCACATTTGAAAGAGCAGCTCTCAAAGCAAAAATATCCCCAGCCCTTTCTGCTCTGTCCTCACACGTACTGCAGGTACACTGGGCTGTAATCTGTCCAGCACCCCTTCAGGCTGGGATGGACAGGAGTACAGGCACAGATGAACAAGGTTAAGCTAGATCCTACTGTGAGGAGGGTGAAGGAGGTTTGGACTCAATGCGGGTCAAAGGTTAGGGTCAAAAGTCACTCACGCTACTCTCTGGAGCTCCAGGCAAGTTCAGCAGCTCCCAGTGCCCCGTGCATCCGAGCTCCACGGCCCGAAGGGGTAGGTCCAGGGGATCTGGAGGGGGTAGCACTACGGGGAAAGGTCAAAAGTCAGGGGTCAAAGTTCATTCCATATCGGCTACTCCGTTCCATTTCCCTCCCCTCCCCCTCACCAAGTCGCTCTGTCTCCATCATCCTGGAGCCACAGCAGCTGCCTGGCAGCCCGGAAGTGCGGCAAGTAGTCGCTGCGAAGTAAGCCCCGCCCCGGAACGGGCGGAAGTAGAGGCAACTTCCGGTACAGCCCCGCCGAGAGCGTGAACTATCGCTGCGGAGGGGCAGACCTGGACCGGTGGAAGGCCGGGCGGAAGTGCGCGCCTGGGGCCGCCTTGGTTACCGCGTTTTCCGCTCCTCGCTACGTCATCGTTGTGAGCCCGCTATCAGCGGCCAGCGCGGGCGCGGCCGGAGACCGTGGGGCCCCCGGTTGCCGCCCCCTCGGGTAAGGCCCTCTGCTTCTCACTCTTCGGCCCTTTTTCTCATAGCCGTTTCTCTGTTCTTCCTCTTTGCGTTGCTCTGCGGGCGCTACGCTGGCTCCACCGCCTTCTCTGCCGTTCAAACCCCGCGGTTGTCCTTACCCTAGCGAGGGTAGGGGGGTCGGGTGCCATCGTCTTTCCGACGGAGTGGATATTTGTCCCTCCTTGAACCACATGGTACCTAAAGGTGCTGGTGTCTGTGATCCCTGGAGACAGGAGGGAATGCTGGATGATCCCGACCAGCGGGAGCTTGGACAGCAGCCTGGTTTAAGCAAGGGGTAGGGAAAGCCAAAGACAAGAGTAGGCAGACCTGAAGGGGTGGGGTTGGGTACAGTGTGGACGGCGTGTGAACCCCGGGTGGTAACAGTGGAGAAAGATGTCTTGGGCCCTGCCCCTGAACTAGGAGCCACCATGTTGGTGATACCCCCCGGACTGAGCGAGGAAGAGGAGGCTCTGCAGAAGAAATTCAACAAGCTCAAGAAAAAGGTGAGGGACTGTGTGTGGACATGGCCTAACCTTTCACAGACTCTGCACTCTGAGAAGATATGGGGTGAGTGTGAGCGAATGGGGAAGTTTTTCTGGCCCATACCTAGAGACATATCACCTCACAGTGTAGCTTCGAGAGGTGGGCTTTCCCAAGCCTTGGTGTGGACCTTCTGTCTTTTCTATGCAATTTGCCATGGATTGTCTTCCTTTCCCATGGCTTTTAGTACCGCTTAAGAGCTGATGATCCCCAAGTTTGTTTTTTCCAGTTCTATCCAGTGTTATACTGAAAAACTTCAGATACTCAGTGTTGAAGCTATCATCTTTCTATTCTTGATCTTCCAAATAAGATTGACTACACCAATTCTGCCACATGTTTGGACTCAAAACTCTGACTTCCCCACTATTTGCATAGTCAAACCTTTGCCAAGTCTTATTGTTTCTTCTTTTGAAGTAATTTTTCCTGTTTATTCTTCACTGTGCATTCCCCCGAGCAGGGCTTTATTGACATTCATGTGGGCCATTGTAATGGTCTCTCAACAAATTTCTCAGTCTTTTTTTTTGAACAGACTTCTTCACTCCTGTTCAAATGATCCATTGAAAACACAAAATTCTGCTCCCTCTGTTTCTCAAAAACCATAAATGGCTTCACATTGTCTATAAAAAAGCCTCAAAACCTTAGTTTGGCAGCCTTGTCTAGTAAAGTAGAACTATTCACTACTTCCAAAAGATGCATTCCCAAAGCCTTCTTATCTCTGCATCTTTGCCACCCTGTTTTCTTTTTCTAAAATACCCTTCTCCTCTCTGTGTTGTGCAGAGATACGGGAGAGGGCCTAGTTTAATAGCCATTAAACATCAGAAAATCTTACTAGCTTTCAGCTATGAATAATCTGCACCTCTTATAATTGTATTGCTAACTCAATGTATTTTATTTCTCAGACTGTAAGCTTCTTGAGGGTAGGAACAATGCATTAGCCTCCTGGATATCCCTGTTACGAAGTCATGGCTGGGCCTCATTCAATATGCAGGAAATAGATGGATGAAGCTTCCAGGAAAGGCACATAAACTTATACTTACTTGCAGCTTATATCCTAGGATTCTAGTCCATGATTGAGTTATTTGTCTTCAACTTCAAAAATGTAACACTCTGGAAAACCTCTGGGTTCCGTGGTTTGGTTAGATTAGGAATTTCCAGCATCATACATGATCTAGGGGACCAGAGGCAAGAGGCAGAGCACATCAGTGTACCACTCTGAGGGCATCAAGAAAGACGGTCCCTGGAATGATGTGCCCAGGGGCCTTAGGAGAGGAACCGGCTAGGGGCTGGCCCTCACTTACCTCTCTCTTCTCACCCTTGTTCCCAGAAAAAGGCATTGCTGGCTCTGAAGAAGCAAAGTAGCAGCAGCACAACCAGCCAAGGTGGTGTCAAACGCTGTGAGTGACAGGGGAAATGGGGATGGACTGGAAGTGGGCAGCATGGAGCTGACCTTCATCATGGCTTGGCCAACATAATGCCTCTTCCCCTTGTCTCTCCAGCACTATCAGAGCAGCCTGTCATGGACACAGCCACAGCAACAGAGCAGGCAAAGCAGCTGGTGAAGTCAGGAGCCATCAGTGCCATCAAGGCTGAGACCAAGAACTCAGGCTTCAAGCGTTCTCGAACCCTTGAGGGGAAGTTAAAGGTGAGCACAAGCAGAAAGATTGTTTAAAGGGCATCCCTCCAAGTTGGAATGTAGATGGGTTTGGGGAAAAATATGCATACTCAAGCACTGGCAAATTGCTGTACCATTCTGAGTTTCACCTCTCATGTATAAAATGAAAAAACTAGACGACTCCTGAATTCTCCATTTTACAAATTCTGTGGTTCTAATCCACCTTGGATTGGAGCTCTTGGAATATGTTGCCCTAAGGGATGGAAAGGGCTGAAAATGTTATCAGGTTCAAGAGAGGTTCAAATAAACTGAATACATAATATATCGAGTCACTTATAAAAAATACCAGCTGGGCGTGGTGGCTCATGCCTGTAATCCCAGCACTTTGGGAGGCTGAGGTGGGCAGATCACTTGAGATTAGGAGTTTAAGACCAACCTGGCCAACATGGTAAAACCCCGTCTCTACTAAAAATACAAAAATCAGCAGGGTGTGAGGCCGGGCGCGGTGGCTCACACCTGTAATCCCAGCACTTTGGGAGGCCGAGGCAGGCGGATCACGAGGTCAGGAGATCGAGACCATCCTGGCTAACAAGGTGAAACCCCATCTCTACTAAAAATACAAAAATTAGCCGGGCGTGGTGGCGGGCGCCTGTAGTCCCAGCTACTTGGGAGGCTGAGGCAGGAGAATTGCTTGAACCCAGGAGGCGGAGCTTGCAGTGAGTCGAGATTGTGCCACTGCACTCCAGCCTGGGTGACAGCGAGACTCCGTCTCAAAAAAAAAAAAAATTAGCAGAATGTGGTGGTGCACACTTATAGTCCCAGTTACTGAGGAGGCTGAGGCCAGAGAATCACTTGAACCCAGGAGGCAGAGGTTGCAGTGAGTGGAGATCACACCACTGCACTCCAGCCTGGACGACAGAGCAAGATTCTGTCTCAAAAACAAAACAAGCCACAATGGCAGGTGCGGCAATGGCTCATTCCTGGTTAATTTCAGCACTTTAGGAGGCCGAGGTAGGAGGATTGCTTGAGCCCAGGAGTTTGAGACCAGCCCTGGCAACATAGTGAAACCCTATCTCTACAAAAAAAAAAAAAAATACAGAAATTAGCCAAGCATGGTAGAGCACATCTCTAGTCCCAGCTACTAGGGAGGCTGAGGTAGGAGGATTGCTTGAGCATGGGAGGTCAAGGCTGCAGCAAGCTACGATTGCTCTATTGCACTCCAGCCTGGACAACAGAGCAGGACCGTGTCTCAAAAAAAAAAAAAAAAAATAAGTAAAACCACGTCAAATAAGAAATGTATGTAGAATTAAAAGGGAAGAAAAGATCAGAGGAAACCTAGAAGAGGGTGAGGGAAGAGGAACACCTCTGGTCCATGGTTGGGCAACCTCCTGCTCCACACTGAGGTAGGTCTCTCACCACTCCAGGACCCCGAGAAGGGACCAGTCCCCACTTTCCAGCCGTTCCAGAGGAGCATATCTGCTGATGATGACCTGCAAGAGGTAAAGGCTCCTAATTTCTGTCCCTGAGGGGTTGGGGATGGAGGAATATGAGAGACAAATATATTTTGGACCACATGTCAGCAACTGGAAATCATCTTAACTGTTCTTGGTCTCTTTTACAGTCATCCAGACGTCCCCAGAGGAAATCTCTGTATGAGAGGTTAGAGAGTAGAGATAAGGCTGGGCCCATTTGGTGGAGTTGATTGCCTGAGTCCTTGGGAGGTTTGGGCTGTAGGAGCTGGGCTATAGAGGGAATATTGAGTCTCCACAGGGTCTGAGGGGAGAAGGTAAAACCCCCCTTTGATCTTCAGTCTGCATCTCCCCAGCTTTGTGTCTTCTAGTGATCGACTTCGAGAACTAGGACCAGATGGAGAAGAGGCAGAGGGCCCAGGGGCTGGTGATGGTCCCCCTCGAAGCTTTGACTGGGGCTATGAAGAACGCAGTGGTGCCCACTCCTCAGCCTCCCCTCCCCGAAGCCGCAGCCGGGACCGCAGCCATGAGAGGAACCGGGACAGAGACCGAGATCGGGAGCGGGATCGAGACCGGGATCGAGACAGAGACAGAGAGCGGGACAGGGATCGGGATCGGGATCGAGATCGAGACCGGGAACGGGACAGGGATCGGGAGCGGGATCGAGACCGAGACCGAGAGGGTCCTTTCCGCAGTGAGTGATTTTGGCTGGAGGTCAAGGTGACCTTAACTGAGGTTTATGTGGGTCCTACTAAGTGAAATGTGGCATGGGCTATGTCTTGTGACTATGATTTGTGCTCCCAAAGGGTCGGATTCATTCCCTGAACGGCGAGCCCCTAGGAAAGGGAATACTCTCTATGTATATGGAGAAGACATGACACCCACCCTTCTCCGTGGGGCCTTCTCTCCTTTTGGAAACATCATTGACCTCTCCATGGACCCACCCAGAAAGTAAGGATGACAACAGGGCATGATGAGAAGTCCTGGGAGAATCCTGGGGTGTGAGACCTGAGGGAAGAAGCTGCCCTCCCTGCAGCCGCCTATTATCACTGGGTTTGGTTGGGTCCAGAAGAGCCCCTTGGCTCTCCACTGACCGTGTTTTCTCTTATCCCAGCTGTGCCTTCGTCACCTATGAAAAGATGGAGTCAGCAGATCAGGCCGTTGCTGAGGTTGGAACTTCCCAAATCTGTTCTTCCCATCGCTTCTGCTGTTCTCATGTGTTCTCCTCAAAATACTAGATGCCAGGAAGAAGTTGGTTCCTCTTGATAAAGAAAGCCTCTCCCTATTCACACAGAAAAACTCACATTCTCAGATTCCTTATTCAGTCTCCTCCTAGGATAGCAACTCCTGGAATAACTTCTTTGGTTTATCTGTAATGTTTTCCTCCCCATCCTCTGCCTCCCCTCTTCTGCTTCAGCTCAACGGGACCCAGGTGGAGTCTGTACAGCTCAAAGTCAACATAGCCCGAAAACAGCCCATGCTGGATGCCGCTACTGGCAAGTCTGTCTGGGGCTCCCTCGGTAAGAATGGGATTCTTCCTTTCCCATCCTCTCCCCCACAGGCCATTCCTTTTGGTTCCCCCACACATCCTTGGGTTTCCTAGAGATGATCGAGGTCAGAGTGTGTGCGGAGGCTATGGGAATGGGAAGGAAAATTTCAGATCCTCTGTCAGTTAGAGGTAAAGAAAGGAGAGAAAAGGATTGAAAACAGCTTCCAAAGCAGTGACTGGAACAGGGAAGAAAGTGGGAGCTGGAGTGAGATTGGTGAGGAAGATGAGTGTCTCATGGGGCTTGTTCATTTTGAGATGGAGTAGAGTGAGTTTCATAAGTATTCGAAATCAGGGATCTGGAACTCAGGTGTGAGGTAAGGAAGGAAAACATAGATTAAGTCATCCACATCACAGGGTGGCTGCCAAACAATAGGATCATCAGGGAGACTCTGATTTCAGAGAAAAAAAAACGACCCAGGACTCAGTTTGAGGAGTACTCTGGGACTATGTTAGGAAACAGGACTGTTCACCTCACACCCCACATGTCCCCAGCTGTCCTGACATGTTAGGCTAACGTTGAGCCTAACGTTAGCAAAGGAGACAGGAGGAGGGGTCGGAGGGCTGGGAGCAGCACCGCAGGGGCCTGGGCCACTGAAGCAAAAGAACACACACTTTGAGAAAGAGGGAGTAGCCAGCAGTGTTGAGGCACAGAGATCACAGGATGGGAGTGGGTGAGAGAGATTCTCTGTAGCTCAAGGGTGGTGGGGATGGAACCATTGGATGGGGTGAAGAGAGTAACATGTCTGGTGGAGGGAGGAAAGAGGAAGGGGAAGAAACAGCTAGAGGCTTGAGAGAGAATGGTGAGGGCCAAAGCTACACCCTGAATGAGTTCTGGTGGAGCTAGTAGCATTTCTTAGTGTGAATAATCCATTTTCCCTGAAAGTAGATTTTCCTGGGAAAGGAGTGAGCAGAAAGAAGGGCTCAGCTACAGTGGCCCTTCAGGCAAAAGAAAGGAACTAGAATTGACCAGCATGTCAAAAAAGGGCTACAGAGGTTTTCTAGTTTTTAGCTTCTGACATACTGACTGTAAGTAGTGGGTTAATATCATTCACGTGTCTCAACAATGACATTTGGGATTTTTCTAAGAACAAAACATTCATCAAAATGTCCACTTATACTTTTCTTGGCCATGGGTTGGCACAAAGGAGCTAAGGAAGACAGGCCATCCTGGCCACCAGAGGGCAGCGTGGAAACTGGGCTTCCAGGGGCCAGTGGCCAGGAGTGAGGTGGTCAGGAGTCAGCCTCAGGGTCTGTTCTATGATCTCCTTTAGACCTTAACTGTTCCTCTCCTCCCTCCCTAGCTGTCCAGAACAGCCCTAAGGGTTGCCACCGGGACAAGAGGACCCAGATTGTCTACAGTGATGACGTCTACAAGGAAAACCTTGTGGATGGCTTCTAGGGAACAGAGCTGGATTCCTTGTGCCTCATATGCCCCAATGCTGGTCTCAGTAAAACACTGAGGTGGAAGCTTACACATCTCCCTCAGCCTCTGGTTTTTCAGCACTTGGGATTGGGGTTAAACCTTTAAAAACGGCTGTCAGGTTTGATCTCAGTGTAACAACATGGCCAGTGCCTGTTCCCCACTCCCTTGCCCCAAAAGGATCTGGAACACAGGTGTTGTCGCAGCTGTTTTAATTCAATCCCACGCCCCTGTCCAGCAGGAAACCCCTTATAGAAAACCCAAATCCTCATCTTGGAGTTTCTCCTTCAGCCAGGGCAGCACTTGAAAGAGGTTGATGTGAAAGTCTCGGGCGTGAGCAGGTACCTGCTTTTGCCGCTTCTGGTTTTTGCAGACATCCACTACTCCCCAGCTGATTACACCAACCTGCAGAGGCAGTGGGGTGCCATGGATCATTCAGTAGAATTCCTAATCCTGGAAGCATGGCTGTTCCTGCTTGCGTCTTAGCTGACCTAAAGGAATCAGACTAGGGACCCAGCTCAGCCTCGTTCTTGACACACGCAGGCAAGACATGCGGTCCTAAGGTGAGGCAGGCTCTGCCTACCTCGAATTACTAGCCACATGCATTGAGCTTTCCTGCTTTGGGGCCCATGCTGACCACTTGGCATCTCCCCAGATAGGAAAGGGAGGACTCACTTGAATGAAACGACTTCTCTTGTGAACTATCAAGGGGCCGCCAGAATCACCTGCAAGGAGAGGAGAAGCTGTAGAGAAAAGGACTGTTGGGCCTTGGGCACTTGTAGCACAACCAAAGAGCATTCTCTCACCTCTGCAAGTATTGGGGTCAGCATAGGGACTCACTCCTCCAGTACAAAGGAACCGAGGGGTGACCACCTCTGAGATGTCCTTGACTTTGTCATAGCCTGGGGCATATTGAGCATCTCTCTCACAGCTGCCTTTCTGTAGGGGAGGTGGGAAGCATGGAGAAGTAATGAACAGAAGTGGCTTAGGAAGGATTGGGGCCTAGAGTGCCTCCTTAGGATGCCCGTTTCTCACCTTATCCCCATTCTTGATGTAGACCTCCTTCCGAGTCAGCTTTTTCTCCTCCTCAGACACAAACAGAGCTTTGATATCCTGTGCAGGGAGCAGCTCTTCCTCTGGACGAATAGACTGCGTCACTTCAGCTGCTCCCACCACTGTCATCTCCCCATTGCCTTTGTCACTCAGTAGATGTCCCCTAAGCCCTTCTAGAGCTAGGTTCTGGGCCAGGCATCATCTCTTCCTATTGCACCTCCCTCTCATGCCCCACTTGTCTCTTGGGATCTCATCCTTATCCTCTTGCCAAGTATGTCTTACTTTGTTGCTGGCAAGTGGTAGTTGGAGGAAGCCTCAAAGCTCGAGTTGTTCCCTCGGTGCAGGGGAGACAAATGGGCCTATAAAGGACAAGGAGAACAGCAAACCAGGCCTGCTCCTCACCCCAGTCCTCCAGCCTTTCCCAGCCTTTCCTCAGGGATCTGGACGCTCTCACCTGATAGTCTGGCCATATTTCAGCTTATTCTTGAGCTTGATCAGGGCAACGTCATAGTCATAAAATTCAGGAATTCCTGCTTCTTCTTTCCCATTAATGTTGTAGTTGGGGTGAAATAGGACTACTTCTATCTCCAGGTCCCGCTTCTCCCCTCCTGAAGTAGGAGAGTAGGTACCACCTCTTTGTGGGCAGCTTCCTGCCTCTGGCCCCGTGTCATTCCTAACTTCACGTCTTCCCCCATCCCTGACTGGTCTGGGGTGCAAGGAATGGGGCTGCATTGAGGATGGGTGGAGTGTAGGATCTGTAGAAAGTGGGAGGTGTTGCCTGGAGAGCATAGGTGCAGCCCAGGACCTTCAGTTGCATCCTTACCTACGCTGACCTTGATTGAGTGTTCCTTGTCATCCACAGTGAAACAATGTGCTGCTGTCAGCACAAAGTACTCAGACACCACAGCCCCCATACAGCTCTCGTGTCCCTTTGAAGGGCGCTGGGGACACAACAGTAGAGAGGGAAAGCTCAACTTTCACAAACCACCATCTCTTATGGCCATTTTTTCCTTCCCCTACTCCCATTTCACCTTGACCTCACCTCCCCCAAGTCCCCACTACTGGGATTCTGTGCTTACAATGACTGAGATCTTGGCCTGCCATGGTTGCTTGTGGTAATCGGTACCCTTCCTGTGTTCCCAAACCATGCCACAGAGACTCAGAGACTGGCTTTCATCTGGCAGAGAAGGAGAATGTGCTGAAAACTCGGAACACTTCATTCCCAAATGGCAGCAGCCTTTTGGGTAGGAGTCTATGGGGAGCAAAGGCCCAAAAGGAGAAAGGGAAAGACCACGGGTATTTGTTTCCTCGTGTTAGGAGAAAACTGCTATGGTGGACTGAAAAGGGAAAGAACTTGGGATCAAGCTGTCAGAGGCCTGGCTGTTTTCAAGCCCACCCTTGTTGCTAACTTGCTGTCCCTTGACCTCCTTTGGCTTCTGTTTCCACGTGTCAAATGTAGGACTATAGAAAGATCTCTGAAGTGCTCAGAGCTCTGTGATTCTAAGGTTAAGTGAACAGTGCCAGGAAACAAGAATAGTGACACTGAGGTAGAGAAGGAGGAATGAAGAAGGCTTTCCAGGCAACTAGAGCTTCAGGTGTAGAGGAAGAATGAATTACTTCAGGGGAACCTGAGGAGAGTTGTGTTCTTTATTCCCTTGTATCTCCCTACCGATCATTTGGTAGAAAACATCTTCCAGGTTTTCCATATCCTTGACTTTGAACACATGTTGCTCATTGTCTTTCTTGGAAGCCAAAGCATTGATGTTCACTTGGTTCACCAAAGGCCCGACCCCAAACACATAGACATCTGAGGGATAAAAAGGAAGGATGAGGGTCCAAGCCCTGAGGAAGTGGGGTGCTGGGTCCTAGGCAGGTTACTCACCCAGATAATCCTCCCTTGGGTTTTTGCGATCCTTGCCAATGTATAGCAAGTCCCGGATCTCATCAATGACAGTAATTGGGTCCCCGCCCATGTTGTGCAATCCTGCAGAAGAGACAGGACCATGAGGGTAGGAGATAAGGAAGATAAACTGGCTAAAGGCAGGGATACACATGGCAGGGTGAGCAAGTTGAGGAAGGGTTAGAGATAGTTGATCACAGGGCTTAGGAAGAATTCCTTATGAAGGGTCACAGGAGAGATGAACAGCCAGCTATGAGTCACATTCAGGGCCCCAACCATGGGTATAGTGTTACAAGTGGACTTAAGGGCCACATGCTGGTCTGAGAAGGTGGGGAGGCTGGGACAGGAGAGAGGTCCCTTCTGACCATCAGTCATGAGGATGATGACATGGCGGGTGCGGTTCCAGCCTTCAGGAGGGACGTCATCTGGCCAGCTCATCATGCTGTACACTGCCTGGAGGGCCTTCTTGGTGTTAGTCCCTGACTTCAACTTGTGGTCTGTGGAGAGGGAAGAGACCATCACCTCACCTGGTCTTCCAAGCCATCTTTTAACCCCAGAGACCAATCTGCAACTGAAATCCCACATCTTTCAACTTTTTAAGTTAATCATCATTACACGGACTTCCCTTTGACCACAAAGTGGCCCTTCCAGCCCCCAACAGGTTCCCACTAACCTCCATTGCCCAACGATCCTGCTGTTCAACCTTTGACTACAAAGTGGTCCTCCCTGTCGCCCTCAAGGTAGTCTCATGACCCCCTCCACCCTGAACCTCCTGACCCCAAAGTGAACCTCCCACCATTCCCTAACCTCTGACCTTCATAATTGATTTCATTGAGCTGCTTCGTGACCCAGTCTGCATTACTGCTGTCTGCTTCAGACACTTTGACCCAAATTTTGGGGTATGTGGCATATGTCACTAGACCATATCTTGGCTTCACACCATAACTTGCCACCTGTGGGTGAGGAGAACAAGGCGCCATGGCATTGAAAATAGAATACTGTGATTGGGAGATTTCAGCGACTTTGCTGGGACAGGGAGGCTCTCAGTAAGAGGCTCAAGGGCTGAGGTTCATGGAGGAATTACCAGTCAAGAAACTGCTTCAAGTAAAAGGGAAGGAGGACAGAATAGGACCTGGAGATTTTCCTGGGGCCCTGTTGTTCAGAGGGGCTGGAATGATCAGGGAGCTAGTCCTGGAAGATCAGCGAGATTCCATTCCCCCGAGTTCAGGGATAGGAGGATTCCACCTTCTCAATTAAGTTGACTAGACACTTTTTGGCTCCTGTGAAGTTGCTGGCCCCAATGCTGTCTGATCCATCTAGCACCAGGTAGATGTTCATGGAGCCTGAAGGGTCCAGGACGATCTTCCGCTTCTGTTGTTCCCCTGGGTGCCAGGAGAGTGGCTCAGGCTCCAGCATTAACAGTTCTGTCCCTTCTCCATTTTCCCCCAGTTCCCTGCCCTGCCTCCCTTCTCTGTCTTCAAACCTGGGCCGTGCCCATCCTCAGCATCGACTCCTTCTATGGTCTCTGTCAGGGAAGACAGGAAAGCTTCGGCCACCTCTTGAGGGGTGTCGTACATGAAGGAGTCTGGGAGAGTCAGAAATGAGGTCAAATGTCTGGGAGTGTCAGGGATACAGTGACCAAAGAGACGGGGGATCATGGGTTTCCAGGGTATAAAAGGCTCAGAAGTGAGATAGTTGTACAGGGAGGTTTAAACAAAGTGAGGAAAGAGCAGGGTTGAGGTGGGGAGAGAAGACAGTAGGATGGAAGACCAGGATCTGACCTGGGGGTACAGGTCAAAGGTCACCTTGGCAGGAAGGCTCCGTCCCGCTCCAAGAGCCACCTTCCTGACACGTTCGCCGCTGGGAGCCACGCAGGGTAAGCCCCCGGCTGCAGTGGTAGGTGACGCTGTCTTCAAGGCGGTACTGGCTGCCCACCTTCCTTGTGCCAATGGGGATGCCCGGGTTGGAGCAGTACCCCGCTGCAGAGGTATGAGACATCGAGGTAAGCACTGAAGCCTGAGGCCCCGTGAGCAAGGTAGAGAGCAAGAGTTACAGTGTCCGGAGCCGAGTGCCCACTCCTCGGGCTGGGCGCCGTCAGGGAGACAGCAATGTAGGGGGAGGGGATGCTTCTCACCTCCGTTGTCACAGATCGCTGTCTGCCCACTCCACCGGCCATTCACTTGGCAGGTGCGATTGGCAGAGCCCCGGAGAGTGTAACCGTCATAGCAGTGGAAAGAGATCTCATCACTCACATTGTAGTAGGGAGACCGGGGCCAGTATTCCCCGTTCTCGAAGTCGTGTGGTCTTGGACAGTGGATTGCTTTGAGAAGGGGGGACAAGTAGAAGTCATCAAGAGGGAAAGGCTGCCTTAGGTGTATCCCTCCTGGTCTCGGAGACCATGTCACTGAGAAACAGCGCATTCCCAGTCCCGCAGAAGCAGCATCTTACCTACTCCTCAACCCATATGGATTTCCACTGCTTCTCCCTCCCCATTTCTGAGTGTTCTCTTGACTTCCAGGGCTGCCTGGAAGCCCAGGGTAAATGCTTAGTAAGGGTTAACTCCGCTTTTTCTTGCCCCCTTTCCGCCTGCCACCCTAAAACTGCTCCTACTCCCGGTCAGCCCACCTTGTCACCCTGCCTAGTCTCATCCTAGTCCTGACCTTGCTGCCGCCTGCCCTGTTTCTGCCTTAGGCCACTGCCCACACTCATTGCCCTCAAACCTCTGCACTCTGCCTTCCTGACAGTCTTTTGGTCTTGAGTCTTCAGGGTGCTCCAGGACCCCGTAGATCTGCAGGTACGTGTCTGCACAGGGTACGGGTAGAAGCCAGAAGGACACACGTACTCCAGTGCCTGGCCCTCTTGGAGAAGTCGGAAGGAGCCGCCTTTGATCTCTACCCCCTCCAGAGAGCAGGATCCCTGGGGCCGGGCCAAAGACCATGGAGTGGTGGTCACACCTGAAGAGAAAGGCTGATGAAGCCTGGCCCCAAAAGGCCAAGGAGGGATGCTGGAGACAGCAGGAAGGGAAGGTTACCCTCGCTTACCTCCAGACAAGAGGCCCAAGATAAAGGGCATCAGGCAGAGTTGGGGGCTGAGATTGCTCCCCATGGCGTTGGAAGGCAGGAGAGAAGCTGGGCCTGGGGCAGGATGGTGTGTCCTGGCTTGCTTTGCTTGTCTGCTTGGCTCAGTGTCCAAGCTGAAACTCCAGACCTAGACCTGGTCACATTCCCTTCCCCTGCTCCCCACCAGCCCCCAGCCTTTTATACAATCTGTGTTCTGGCACCTGCGGCTCGCCCCGCCTGTCCTACCCACATCACTTTCCCGGAACATCCAAGCGGGAGGGCCCCGCTGAGCTGCCAGTCAAGGAAACAGAAACTGCAGAAGTCCCACCCTTTGCTGCCAAAGGTCCAGGACTCTCCCCTTCAGTACCTCCTCTCCGGCCTTAGCTCCTCCCCAGTAAGCCCAAACCACCCACTTAGGGACCAGAAATAAGGATCCAGCTCACTCCCCTGTTGATTGTGTGTTATGGTGCAGAGTCCAGCCACTGTTTGTCCAGTGGGGTCTCTGACCTGCCTTCCTGTAGCTCTTGGAGTCATTCTGGCCTCCCCCTCCCCCAAGGCCAGCCCTACCTGGCCTCCAGATAGAGGCACTGAGAGATGTGGAAACCATTGATTTTTATTAATTTCATAACTGGGAAATTCCATGTGAAAGTGAAACAAGCATGAGTCAAGTCAACCAGGGAAGGAATCTGGGGACAGGCCAAGGAGCGGGAGGTGGGGCAGCGAGGCAGTCCTGCTGGTAGGAGCCCTGAGGATTTCCCAGCTTGTGTGCGCTGCCTCTGGCATCCTAGAGACCCGGATTTACTCAGCTAGGAGAGAGGATGGATCACAGGGTCTAAGGGTGGCCATTCAGAGGTAGAAGATGGAGGGGCGGCAGATTCTGGCAGGGCAGCAGAGGGCTCAGTGGCCATGGCTAGAGGGGTAAAAAATTCAGGACATCCCCCAGGTGCTGCCTCAGCCAGGGCTGCATGCGGAAGAGATTGATGTGAAAGTCTCGTGGCGGCGGGACCTTGCTACGAGGGGCCCTTTTGCGGGAGTTTTTGTCAGCAGAGCCAAGGCAGGGGTTGTAAAGACCCCAGCTCACCAGACCCACCTGGAGAAAAGGAGAGAACTGGCTGGGAGGCTGCCACAGCCCCAACTGTAAGCCCCAACCTCCCTAGATCCCTCAAAGGCCTCCCTCATCCCCCCAACAAGGCTGAGATCCTGTAACCCCTGGGTCCTGCAAGCTTCTACCTTCTCACCTGAAAAAACCTGAATCTCCGCTCAAGGAAAACTGCTCCCCCAGATTCTCCTGCCAGCAAAGGGTGACAGGAGACAGTGTCATCTAGGGCAGTGGACTGGTGTTCTGGCATGCATGCTGGCCACAGAGACACAGGTGGCCTTCCCCTTGGGAATCCAGGCATGGTGAGGGACTCACCCTTGCAGGGACTCTCATCCTCCTGGGTCCCACTGCATAGGAACTGGTCTGTCACCACCTCCCTGACATCTGTCAAGTTGGGGAACATGGTTTTTTCTTGGGAGACAACCTCGGCACAGCTTGTCCACTGCAGCAGGGGTGGAACCAGAGAGAAGGGTAGAATAAGCAGACCCGGGTGGGTGCAGTGGCTCACGCCTGTAATCTCAGCACTTTGGGAGGTTGAGGCAGGCAGATCACTTGAGGTCAGGAGTTCAAGACCATCCTGGCCAACATGGCGAAATCCCGTCTCTACTAAAAATACAAAAATTAGCTGGTGTGGTGGTGGGCACCTGTAATCTCAGCTACTCGGGAGGCTGAAGTAGGAGAATCGCTTGAACCCAGGAGGCAGAAGTTGCAGTGAGCTGAGGTCGTGCCACTGCACTCCAGCCTGGGAGACAGAGCAAGACTCCATCTCAATAACAACAAAAAAAGAATAAGCAGACCCAGGGACACCTAGCAGGTTTGTGAGGCTTGGGAGGAGGGGTGACCCGCGTCAGAGAGAGAAAGCAGCCAGACCTGGAGAAGGAAGAGAGACATTCTGGGAGCTGTCACAGGGGGATCCCAGCATCCCCAACCTGAGACCCTCACCTCCACTCCCATCTTAAGGTTAATGTTCAGTTTGCTCCCATTCAAGGCGACAAAATGAGCAGGAACACTCTGTTTGTTCAGCAGTTCATTCTCTATAGTCAAGAGAAGGGGATGTTGGTGCTGGTCCTTTTACCCAGAATCCAGGTTCCTGGCTTGGGGACTGCAGCCTAGTCCTTGTTATCACCCCCAAACCCCGGCCCCAGCTCTCAAGCACCATAAGTCCCAGCACTCACCATGGTCCCTACAGGTGCTGCCTTGAGGTCTCCGCAGAGCCAGATTGGCCTCCATCGTGCAGGGAAGGCAGATGGGCCTGGGGAGAAGAGCAAGGGTCACACCAGCCTGTCCCCAGTATCTCTTCCAGGGATCTCCAGAGCACTCTTCCCTGCAGGGCACCCTCCCATCCCAGACTCCAGGCACCTGGCATGGGTGGACATCTTTACTTTCTGGGCCAGCTTCAGCAGAGCTATGTCATCACCATAGAACTCCAGGATTCCCTGGTTCTTTTTGGCAAAGACATCAAACCCTGGGGAGATCACCGCCTTCTCAATAAGGAATTCTTTGCCCCACTGGGATTTGGGGTCTCCTGGAAATGATACACTAGATTAGGCTAGACCAGGGCTCCTGCAGGGGCCAGAGGCTGGGTGAGGTGGTAGGATCTGTGGCTTCAGGATCAGGAGGCTGGTGCATCCCCTGCCTTACCCACATTGACCCTCCACAGGGAGTGGTCGTTGCCATCGCGGAAGCAATGAGCTGCTGTCAGGACCCATTGGTCGGAGATGAGGGCCCCCCGGCAGGTCTCTTGGCTCTTGGGCTGCAGGGGAACAGGTGATTTTCAGAGATTGCAGTATGTCTGGCCCATGGCCGCTTTTACCTCTGGAATCCAAGCCCTGCCCCTCCTTCCTGGTACCTTAATAGTGACATGCCAGGGTGTCCTCTCCTGGTCAGAGGCGTTTGCTGACATGTTCCCCACCCCGCAGATGGTGTCTGTGAGCTTGGAGACATCTGTGGGTGTGAGGATCAGATGGGGAAGGAGGCAAGTGAGGGGCACTGTGTCCAGGTTCCCAACACGGGCCTCTGGCGGGCTCCTCACCATCCTCCCCACACCAAGGAGGGCAAAGCTCACTCACCCAGCATATGTTCAAAGACCTGGTGCAGAGCCTTTGTGTCCTGCAGAATGAAGGCATGCCTCTCACCATCCTTCTTGGACCCTAGCTCATTCAGTTCTCTCCAGTCCACATCCAGCTTGCCCACCCCGATGGCATAGATGTCTGGTGGGGAAGAGGGAAATCACCAGACTCCTGTGGCTTTGGGGCTACCCCATGAGACAGGAGGCTGTCATCTGAAACTCACTGTGTCCAATCAAGACCTACATGAGCTGGACCCCTGCGTCCTCCCCACTGCTACCTGTCTGCCTTCATTTCCTGCCACTCCCTGCCCTTCACTCTCCTGCAGCACACAGCCTCTTTGAAGTTCCTCAAATCCATAGGCATGGTCACACCTCAGGCCCTTTGCCCAGCTGTGCCTCTGCCTAGTTCACTCCTCCCCCCCAGACTTCCACATGGCTCACTTTCGTACCTTTTTAAGTCTTGGCTCAAATGTCACCTTCTCAGTGAGGCCTTCCCTGGTCTTCCTGTCTAAAACTGCAATGCCCCAGACAAACTTTCATCCCCACTTTGGGAGGCAAGGTGGGAGGATCCCTTGAAGCCAGAAGTTTGAGACCAGCCTGGGCAACATGGCAACACCCCTTAGCTTGTGTCACCTACCACCTGCTGGGTTCTATGGTTTTCTTATCCTGTTTATTCCCTGTAATGGTGGAATTGTGTCCCCCAGAAAGATGTGTTCGAGTCCTAATCCCCAGTATCTGTGACTTTATTTGGAAAAAGGGTCTTTGCAGATGTAATCAAGTTAAGATTAAGTCATACTAGATTAGGGTGAGCTCTAATCCAATGACTGAGGTCCTTATAAGAAGAGGTAAGCCAGAGCCAGGCGTGGTGGCTCACACCTGTAATCACCAGGAGGCGGTGGTTGTGGTGAGCCAAGATCGCGCCATTGCACTCCAGCCTGGGCAACAAGAGCAAAACCCCGTCTCAAAAAAAAAAAAAGAAGAGGTGAGCCGGGCACGGTGGCTCACACCTGTAATCCCAGCACTCTGGGAGGCTGAGGCGGGCAGATCACGAGGTCAGGAATTCAAGACCAGCCTGACCAACATGGTGAAACCCTGTCTCTACTAAAAATACAAAAATTAGCCAGACATGCTGGCACACACCTGTAATCCCAGCTACTCAGGAGGCTGAGGCAGGAGAATCGCTTGAACCGGGAGGCGGATGTTGCAGTGAGCCGAGATTGCACCACTGCACTCCAGCCTGGGCAACAGAGCAAGACTCCATCTCAAAAAAAAAAAAAAAAAAAAAAAGTGAACTGGCTGGGCATGGTGGTGACTCATGCCTGTAATCCCGGCAGTTTTTTTGAGGCGAAGGCAGGCAGATCGCCTTGAGGCCAGGAGTTTAAGACCAGCCTAGCCAACATGGCGAGACCATGTCTCTACTAAAAATACAAAAATTTGCCGGGCATGGTGGCACATGCCTGTAATCCCAGCTTCTTGGGAGACTGAGGCACGAGAATCACCTGAACCCAGGAGGCAGAGGTTACAGTGAGCCGGGATCCCGCCACTGCACTGCAGCCTGGGCTTCTGGGTGACAGAGCGAGACTCTGTCTCAAACAAATGAACAGAAAAAGAAGAAAGGAATTTGGACACAAAGACACAGGTAGTGGGTCTCCTATCTATATAAGAGAACAGCATGTAATGACACAGAGGCACACACAGAAAAGAAGGCGAGTTGAAGACAGAGGCAGAGAATGGGTTTATGCTGCCGCAAGCCAAGGTTGGAGCTGCCGGCAGCCGGAAAAGGCAGGAAAGAATTCTTCCCAAGAGCCTTCTGAGGAAGCACGGCCCTGCCAACACCTTGATTTCAGACTTCTAACCTCCAGAACTGTAAGAAAAAGAAATTCTGTGTTCTAAGCCACCCAGGTTTGTGGTAGTTTGGTAAGTACTTTTAAATGACTGAATGAATAGAAAGAACTCAGAACACAACATGGAAACTAAACCTCAGATCTGGTCTTCCTCTGTAAAAGGTAGCATCTGGGAGAAGGGCCTAAAGCCACGTTTTCCCACTGGAGGCCCTGGACCCACACAACAGGCCGCGCCTGTCCTCCGACTGTGGTGCCAGTCAGAACTGCCCTCAGACAGACCACAGAGTCTACTCCTCTCCCAGCCTTTGCACCCCTTGTGGCCCATTTTTGTTCTCAGAGAGCCCCGCGTTGTGTGTAAAAAGCAAGGTGCTTAGGTGGACCAAGAGATCTTCAGCCAGGAGGCAATCTGGCAATGGCCCAGATAGAAACAGTTACAGTTGGAGCTAGACAACGATCGTGCCTTGTGCGTTTTCTTTGACTATTTTCGTTTGGTTTCCTGCTTATTTTCAATAAAATGTTTTTGTAGCATTTGACCTTGGTCCAGTGATGCTAAGGAGGAAGGGAGTGGGCTTTAAATTTTGTCTTCCTTGGGCCAGAGTTTTAAAGAGGAATCAGCTTACCCCCGAGGGCCAGGTGATGGGGGAGGGGGCAGTGTGAATGGAAAGGAGAGGAGCTAAGGGGAAGATGAAAGGTTGGGGCTCAAAACCAGCTGCCCTCCCTGTCTGAGCATCTCTCTCTCTGAAATTACTTTCTGATCAAAGGTCAGTGCAATTTGTGTTTAGTCTGAACCTGAGGAATTTTTCCTTTAGAGGCTGCAACTGCCAAAGCCTTAGTTAGCCAGCTGTGCTGCTGAAAGAGCAACCACCAGGGACATTCCCCAGAGGGAATCGAGGTCCCTTCTTCCTGGAAAGTTTCCTGAAACATGAGATGCTATGATGATGATGATGATGATAACGACGACGGTCGTGGTCATGGCTAACATATGCTGGGCATTTTTCTATGCCAGGCAGGCAGTGTTTGTCTGAGCATCTTCCCCTGTCAGCTTGTGAGCTGGGTCCTAGTACTACTCCCCTTTTGCAGATGAAGAAACTGCCCATGGCCACAGCCCACTGAAGATGAAACCAAGGTTCTCTGTCTAAAGCTGTTGATTAAAAATAATAATTAAAAAATTAAAAATTGGCCAGGCACAGTGGCTCACGCCTATCTGTAATCCCAGCACCTTGGGAGACCAAGGCAGGCGGATCACTTGAGGCCAGGGGTTTGACACCAGACTGCCAACATGGTGAAACTCTGTCTCTATTAAAAATGCAAAAATGAGCCGGGCATGGTGGCACACACCTGTAATCCCAGCTACTCTGGAGGCTGAGGCAGGAGAATCATTTGAAGCCAGGACGTGGAGGTTGCAGTGAGTTGAGATCGAGTCACTGCACTCCAGCCTGGGCAACACGGCAAGATTCTGTCTCAAAAAAAATTTAAAAATTAATTTTAAAAAATTTGTGAAGACGGGCTGAGCATAGTGGCTCATACCTGTAATCCTACCACTTTGGGAAGCTGAGTTGAGGGGATCACTTGAAACCAGGAATTTGAGGCTGCAGTAAGCTATGATTGCACCACTGCACTTCATGGTGGCATGGTGGACATCGTTACTTTCTGGACCAGCTTCTGGGCCGGCATGGGTGGACATCTTTCCAGGAATATACTCTGAGTGTCAGTGAGACACTGTCTTAAAAAAAAAAAAAAAAAAAAAGAAGGTAAGGTTGAGACCATGGGCAGTAGTTTGACCCCAGGCTCTTCAACATGAGTTGCCTTTGTACAGAACAACGCAGAAATAAAACCATGTGGCTCTGGACCATAGCTAAGATGCTGGGATCCCTGGCTGAAGATCTCATGACCTCTGCAGGAGCAGAACAAATGTGGTGGCAGTGGCAGGGGCTCACCCAGATAGTCATTCCTCTTCTGGTTGATGTTCAGGATCTCTCTGATATGGTCAACAGCTGTCTTGGGAGAGCCACCCATATTGGACTTTCCTAGAACAAAGAGAATAAAGAATTCTTCTAGGTAATATCAGGATTTCCCCAGGCCCTGGAAGAGTAGGAAAGCATTTAGCCTGGGAACCTCAACATTTACATTGCCTGTGAGAGCTTCAAAATATACTTTTAGGCTGGGCATGGTGGCTCACACCTGTAATCCTAGCACTTTGGGAGACCGAAGAAGGCGGATTGCCTGAGCTCAGGAGTTCCAGACCAGCCTGGGCAACATGGTGAAACCCTGTCTCTACTAAAACCACAAAAAATTAGCCAGGTGTGGCCGGGCATGGTGGCTCATGCCTGTAATCCCAGCACTTTGGGAGGCCAAGGCAGGTGGATCACCTGAGGTTGGGAGTTTGAGACCAGCTTGACCAACATGGAGAAACCGCACCTCTACTAAATATACAAAATTAGCCGGGTGTGGTGGCACATGCCTGTAATCCCAGCTACTCAGGAGGCAGGAGAATCGCTTGAACCTGGGAGGCGGAGGTTGCGGTGAGCCGAAATCGCGCCATTGCACTCCAGCCTGGGCAACAAGAGTGAAACTCCATCTCAAAAAATAAAAATAAAAATTAGCCAGGCATGGTGACACATGCCTGTAGTCCCAGCTACTCTGGAGGCTGAGGCACGAGAATTGCTTCAGCCTGGGAGGCAGAGGTTGCAGTGAGCCGAGATCGCACCACTGTAGTCCAGCCTGGGCAATAGAGTGAGACCCTGTCTCAAAAAAATAAATATATATATATATATATGTATGTATACATATATATATATATACATACATATATATATATACACACTTTTACTGAAATGTTCTACATTCCAGGCACCAGGCCAGGTGCTTCCTATACTTTAACTCATTTAATTCTCATGAAACCCCAGGTAGAGTGGGTATCCTCATTTTATATACTAAGTCCTGGAGGAACTGTGTAATTTGGACAATAGCAAGAGGCAAATGACAAGGCCAGATCCACTACAGACTGTTCCTTGCATCCGTGCCCTTCGACATTCCTGCTCAAGAGCCACGTTTCCTCATCTATCTCCAAGTTACCTCCCAGATGGTAACAAGAGCTAACACAGAGCACTTTCACACAGGCAACTTAAATAGCTTTCCATAAAAATTGTGTAAGGAAAGGAGGACAGCCATCATGATCATCATTGCTGTCATTGTGGTTACGGTCATCATCATCAACACTAATTCTATTTATTTATTTATTTTATTTTGAGACAAGGTAGGATCTTGGTCTGTCACCCAGGCTGGAGTGCAGTGGCATGATCTTGGCTCACTGCAACCTCTGCCTCCCAGGTTCAAGCAATTCTCCTGCCTCAGCCTCCCAAGTAGCTGGGATTACAGGCGCCTGCCACCACACCCAGCTAATGGTTTTGTATTTTTAGTAGAGACGGGGTTTCACCATGTTAGCCAGTCTGATCTCAAACTCCTAACCTCAAGTGATCCACCCGCTTTGGCCTCCCAAAGTGCTGGGACTACAGGCATAAGCCACCACACTGGCCCTATTTTATAAATAAGAAACTGGGCCAGGTGTGGTGGCTCATGCCTGTAATCCCAGCACTTTGGGAGGCTGAGGCAGGAGGATTGCTTGAAGCCAGGAGTTTGAGATCAGCTGGGCAACATAGCAAGGCCCCATCTCTAAAAACAAAAACAAAACTGGGGCCCAAAGTGGCAGGCAGAGGGAGAATCAGAATTCAGGGCTTCTGACCCCATATTGGTGCCCCTTCCACTATTCCAGACACACTCAGAGACCATGATACCCACCATCTGTCAGAAGGATGATGGCATGTCGGATTTCCTGCCAGGCCATCGTTTCCATGCCGAGGAGTCGCATTTGGTTGTTCATCATGAGATAGACACTGTTTAAGGCCGCATAGGTGTTAGTCCCAGTTCCATTTTCATGATCTGGAATATGCCAAAAGGAAGGACTCTCTTAGAAACTTCCCACCTACCACCTAGGGGTAGGGAATCACTCTATTCCCCCAATTATTGGAAATGCAATTTTTTTTTTTTTTTTGAGAGAGTCTCGCTCTGCCACCCAGGCTAGAGTATAGTGGCGTGATCTTGGCTGACTGCAACCTCCACCTCCCCAGTTCAAGTGATTCTCATGCCTCAGTCTCCCAAGTAGCTGGGATTACAGGTGCCAGCCACCATGCCCAGCTAATTTTTTGTATTTTTAGTAGAGATGGGGTTTCACCATGTTGGCCAAGCTGGTTTCCTGACCTCAAGTGATCCGCCCATCTCAGCCTCCCAAAGTGCTGGGATTACTACAGGCATGAGCCACTGCACCCGGCCTGGAAATGCAATTTATCGATTGTTTTGATAAACTCAGACATTTGCCATTCAGATAGAGATGTGGCATCATTGCTTGTTCAAACTTTAAAAGCCTTTCCACCTTAGAAATGTTCATTGCATAGGGCCGGGCAAGGTGGTTCACGCCTGTAATCCCAGCACTTTGGGAGGCTGAGGTGGGCGGATCACAAAGTCAGGATCACGAGACCAGCCTGACCAACATAGTGAAACCCCATCTCAACTAAAAATATAAAAAATTAGCCAGGCATGGTGGCAGGTGCCCGAAATCTCAGCTACTCGGGAAGCTGAGGCAGGAGAATTGCCTGAACCCTGGAGGCAGAGGTTGCAGTGAGCCAAGATCGTGCCACTGCACTCAAGCCTGGGTGACAGTGCGAGACTCCACCTCAAAAAAAAAAAAAAGAAGAAGAAAAAAGAAATGTTCATTGCATAACCCCAATCCAAGACCACACTAAAGTCCCAAGATTCAAAGATGAGGTTTCCAAAACCTTGAGTGGCTTCAGCCATTTGCTAAGTGCCAACCAGGCACTTTACATGGTGTATGGGTGGCTAATGACATGGGGAGATGGCAGTGTGCAGCCATGCAAACCAGACAGTGTGGTTTTGGCAACTGGAAGGAATTGAAGACCTGCACAGTGTCTTTGGACCTGCAGCATCTCAGAATGAGCTATGAGCTGGGGGCAGCTGGACTCCCCCACCATAACCCTGGACGTTGAAACTACCCCAGACTCGTGGGACTCAGGTGCCACCAAGAGGCCTCACTCTCTTTTTAACTCATCCAGAATTTGTTTGCAGGCCCTGAGAGGGTCCATCTTCTCCTCTCTCATCACCATCACGTGATGACACCCGTACCTTTATAGTTGGCATTTTCCAGGCTGCTGATCACCTCAGTCATATCCCGGGAGTTGTCGTTCAGGACAGACATGAGGACTTTGGGCTCTGAGGCAAAGGTGATAATGGCAACGCTCACATTGATCTCAAAGCTGAAGATCTGTGCGGGGCAAGTGAGAGGCAGCGTAAAGGGCCCTGAAGCCAAAGGGGAGATGGTAAGAGAGCAAACAAAGGGCCCTGGAGGAGGCAGAGAAACTGGAGTGAGACCGACAGAGGCAAGGACCAGGGGAGACACTAGGAAATGGCTGTTAGGAAGAAGCTAGGGGCTGGGCGCGGTGGCTCATGCCTGAATCCCAACACTTTAGGCAGGTGGATCACCTGAGGTCAGGAGTTCGAGACCAGCCTGACCAACATGGCAAAACCCATCTCTACTAAAAATACAAAAATTAGCCTGGTATGGTGGCAAGCACCTATAATCCCAGCTACTCAGGAGGCTGAGGCAGAAGAATCACTTGAACCCAGGAGGCAAAGTTTGCAGTGAGCTGAGATCGCACCACTGTACTCCAGCCTGGGTGACAGAGACTCTATCTCAAAAATAATAATAATAATAATAATAATAAAAATAAGGAACAGCAGCAGCTAAGGAAGAAACCTTTGTTGAACATCTTTCTCTTTGACAGACTCTCTTCACTCCACCCTGTGAGGGGCATGATGACCCCTATTTTATGGATAAGGAAACTGAGGTATGTTGCCTTGTCCCCCTTCCCCCATCACACCATGAGGAGGAGGTGGAAGTGGGATCTGAATGTGTCACATGATTCTCAATCACTGCTCCAACTGGTGTGTGTTGCCGCCTCGCAGTGCAATGAGTTACTTAATTTTGAGTCCCAAGAGAGCACAGAAACTGCCCTCTTTAAAATGTAGCTGGGAGGGAAAACCATCTATAATGTTACATGAAGTATTGTGAAAAGCACAATTACAAAACAAAGTTCTGGCGAGGAACTTAAACCAGTGGCTTCCAAACTTCTATCACACATATTTTATTTTATTTTATTTTATTTTATTTATTTTTTTGAGACAGAGTTTTGCTCTAGTTGCCCAGGCTGGAGTGCAATGGCGTGATCTCAGCCCACTGCAACCTCCACCTCCCGGATCCAAGCGATTCTCCTGCCTCATCCTCCCAAGTAGCTGGGTTACAGGCGTGCGCCATCACATGTGGCTAATTTTGTATTTTTAGTATAGACAGGGTTTCATCATGTTGGTCAGGCTGGTCTCAAACTCCTGACCTCAAGTGATCCACCTGCCTCGGCCTCCCAAAGTGTTGGGATTACAGGCACTAGCCACCATGCCCAGTCTATCACACACATTTTAAAGCCTGCACAAAATGTTGAAGTTTTAAAAGGAAATTATTAAATATTAAATTATTAATCTGATTTAAATTATTCCACAGGGGCACCAGTATTTTTCTGCTTCACTCCTGTGGGTTATCTCACTACCTTTCTGTGGAGACCACTGTTCTAGATGATGAATTCCTGGAAAGTAAGACCTCAGCCTTTCCATCTTTGCTGTCGCCCAGCCCCAGCACAGTGTCCCAACAGTGCTTGTGGAATAAAAATTATGATTGTATAAATTGAATTCATGATTCCTACATGGCATGAGTATAATCTGAGAAGACTTCTTGGAGGAGGTGGGCTGTGAGTGGGGTTCTGAGGAGGGGAAGGAGACAGAGAGAGATAGTGAGCACAGGAAGGCCTCTGCTGCAGGCAGACTCCTGATTCCTGACCCTGTCCACCATGAGGGAGGCGCTCTCCTTGAAGATGAGAAAGTCATTTTCCGACACACTCTGCGAACAGTCCAGGAGCAGGTAGAGGTTCAGATGACCAGAGCGCTGGATTTGGATTTTACGGCCCAGGCTTTCTGGAGAAATGTGGAAGGGGAGGATTCAGATCCCCACCTCCTTCCTGCGCTCTCGCCAAGCAGGTCCAGCTTCTCTGCCTCCCTCCCTTTCAGTGGCTGAGCCCACCAAGGCTCCTGGCCTCCAGGAAGGTTGCATCCTCCCTTGCTCCGGCCCAGATCCAGCACCCTGCTCAACCAGAAACCCCACCTCAAACACTCACCCTTTGTCTTCTGGGTGGGATTGGTGGCCCCAAGCATGTGGGAGAAGGAAGTGCCCAGGGCAGGGGCCACGTCCTCAGGGAAGTCATAAGAGTAGGGTTCTGTGGGGAGAGCCACACAGGAGTCAGCCGGGGCAGTGGCCGGGTGTGCCGAGGAATCTCAGGAGGGCAGGGCAGCTACTCACGGCGGCAGATGGGCTCCGTTCCACTCCAGACCCCGTTGCCCTGGCACTCCCGCTCCGAAGACCCCGTGAGCACAAGATTCGAGGAGCAGCGATAGCGGACCTTGTCCCCATGACCAAAGCGGAAGCCTGTCCGCACTGCGCCCAGTGAAATGCCTGGGTTGGGGCAGTGGCCAGCTGCGAGTGAACAAAGGAAGGCAGAGGTGAGTAGCCCCCTCCCATCAGGCTCTGCCTCCTCAGCGGCCTCAGTTGCCAGCAGAAGCTTCCCAGTTCCAACCCAGGGATGCACCCATGTCTGTCCCAGAGCCCCCAGAGACCCAGGGAAGAAGTCAGCTGATGGTCCCTCCACTCCTTCAGAGAACATTTATATTTCATAAACCACAGTGAGGCATCCCTACACACCCATCAAAACGGCTAACACTGAAACAACAGGTAATTCCAAGTGTTGGAGAGGATGCAGAGCGACTGGCACTCTGTTACCTTGCTGGCATGTACGTGGGTGAAACTTTCTCAGCCTCTACTACAACTAAACATATGCCAGCCTGTGATGTGACAATTCCACATTTAGATCATTTACTCAAGAGAAGCAAGTGCATACATGTACCAAAATCACATGCAAGAATGTTCCTAGAGCTCCCTCTCCCTCACCCTCTCCCCATGGTCTCCCTCTCCCTCTCTTTCCACGGTCTCCCTCTGATGCCGAGCCGAAGCTGGACGGTACTGCTGCCATCTCGGCTCACTGCAACCTCCCTGCCTGATTCTCCTGCCTCAGCTTGCCGAGTGCCTGCGATTGCAGGCGCGCGCCGCCACGCCTGACTGGTTTTCGTATTTTGTTAGTGGAGACGGGGTTTCGCTGTGTTGGCCGGGCTGGTCTCCAGCTCCTAACCGCGAGTGATCCACCAGCCTCGGCCTCCCGAGGTGCTGGGATTGCAGACGGAGTCTCGTTCACTCAGTGCTCAATGATGCCCAGGCTGGAGTGCAGTGGCGTGATCTTGGCTCGCTACAACCTCCACCTCCCAGCAGCCTGCCTTGGCCTCCCAAAGTGCCGAGATTGCAGCCTCTGCCCGGCCGCCACCCCGTCTGGGAAGTGAGGAGCGTCTCCGCCTGGCCACCCATCGTCTGGGATGTGAGGAGCCCCTCTGCCTGGCTGCCCAGTCTGGAAAGTGAGGAGCGTCTCTGCCCGGCCGCCATCCCATCTAGGAAGTGAGGAGCGCCTCTTCCCGGCCGCCATCACATCTGGGAAGTGAGGAGCGTCTCTGCCCTGCCGCCCATCGTCTGAGATGTGGGGAGCACCTCTGCCCGGCCGCCCCATCCGGGATGTGAGGAGCGTCTCTGCCCGGCCGCCCCGTCTGAGAAGTGAGGAGACCCTCTGCCTGGCAACCGCTCCATCTGAGAAGTGAGGAGCCCCTCCGCCCGGCAGCCGCCCTGTCTGAGAAGTGAGGAGCCCCTCCGCCCAGCAGCCACCTGGTCCGGGAGGGAGGTGGGGGGGTCAGCCCCCCGCCCGGCCAGCCGCCCCGTCCGGGAGGGAGGTGGGGGGGTCAGCCCCCAGCCCGGCCAGCCGCCCCGTCCGGGAAGTGAGGGGCGCCTCTGCCCGGCCGCCCCTACTGGGAAGTGAGGAGCCACTCTGCCCGGCCAGCCGCCCCGTCCGGGAGGGAGGTGGGGGGGTCAGCCCCTCGCCCGGCCAGCCGCCCCATCCGGGAAGTGAGGGGCGCCTCTGCCCGGCCGCCCCTGCTGGGAAGTGAGGAGCCCCTCTGCCCGGCCAGCCACTCTGTCCGGGAGGGAGGTGGGGGGGTCAGCCCCCCGCCCGGCCAGCCGCCCCGTCCGGGAGGGAGGTGGGGGGATCAGCCCCCCGCCCGGCCAGCCGCCCCGTCCGGGAGGGAGGTGGGGGGGTCAGCCCCCCGCCCGGCCAGCCGCCCTGTCCGGGAGGTGAGGGGCGCCTCTGCCTGGCCGCGCCTACTGGAAAGTAAGGAGCCCCTCTGCCCGGCCACCACCCCGTCTGGGAGGTGTACCCAACAGCTCATTGAGAAGGGGCCATGATGACAATGACGGTTTTGTGGAATAGAAAGGGGGGAAAGGTGGGGAAAAGTTTGAGAAATCGGATGGTTGCCGTGTCTGTGTAGAAAGAGGTAGACCTGGGAGACTTTTCATTTTGTTCTGTACTAAGAAAAATTCTTCTGCCTTGGGATCCTGTTGATCGGTGACCTTACCCCCAACCCTGTGCTCTCTGAAACATGTGCTGTATCCACTCAGGGTTGAATGGATTAAGAGCGGTGCAAGATGTGCTTTGTTAAACAGATGCTTGAAGGCAGCATGCTCCTTAAGAGTCATCACCACTCCCTAATCTCAAGTACCCAGGGACACAAACACTGCGGAAGGCCGCAGGGTCCTCTGCCTAGGAAAACCAGAGACCTTTGTTCACTTGTTTATCTGCTGACCTTCCCTCCACTATTGTCCTGTGACCCTGCCAAATCCCCCTCTGTGAGAAACACCCAAGAATGATCAATTAAAAAAAAAAAAAAAAAAAGAATGTTCCTAGAGCTTTACTCCTAATGGCCCCAAACTGGAAATAATCCAAATGTCCATCAGGAGGGGAATGGATAAATTGTAATATACCCATATAATGGAATACTACACAGCAATAAAAAAGAACAAAGTACTGATACACACAACAGCATGGATAAATCTCACAGGCAGAATATAGAACAAAGGATGCCAGAAGCAACAGACCACATCCCGCATGATTCCATTTACAGGAAATGTAAGCACAAGGTACCTAGTCCATGGAGACAGAGGTCAGAAGAGCAGTTACCTTGTGGGAGGGGACAAGAGGGAACCTCATTCTGTCTTGGGTGGTGATTAGATGAGTGGATGCATTGTAACAAATCATTGAGCTGAATAGTTAAGATTTGTACATTTTACAATAGGTAAATTATGCCTCAATTTTAAAATAAGTTAGAGTCACGTCTAATAATTCAAGCATTACTTATCACAGTCTTACCAGGCATCTACTTCACCCTCCTACAGAATAAATGGCCATTTGCCAAAACCCAAGGGCATGAGTGGGGATCCATGGTCTGGGCCACTAGGTGAAGGTGGTCCTGCCATCTTGTGGACTCCGTGTCTTCTGTATGATGTGCTAAGAACCATGATCCAAGAAGCTCCCAAACCCACAGGCAAATGCAGCTCCAGGGAATCCTAGGAGCCCTACTTCTGCCAAGCAGAGCCCCTCACCATTCACAGGGGCAGCAATAACTATGACAAAAGTGCTTATGGCCAGGTGTGGTGGCACATGCCTGCATTCCCAGCTACTGAGGAGGCTGAGGTAGGAAGATCACTTGAGCTCAGGAGTTTGAAGCCAGCCTTGGCAACACAGCGAGATCCTGTCTCTTAAAGAAACAAAAACAAGGCCGGATGCCGTGGCTCACGCCTGTAATCCCAGCACTTTGGGAGGCCAAGGTGGGCAGAATCCCCTGAGGTCAGGAGTTTGAGACCAGCCTGGCCAACATGGAGAAACCCTGTCCCTACTAAGAATAGAAAATTACCGAGGCATGGTGGCGCATGCCTGTAATCCCAGCTTCTTGGGAGGCTGAGGCAGGAGAGTCACTTGAACCCGGGAGGCAGATGTTGCGGTGAGCTGAGATTGCGCCATTGCACTCCAGCCTGGGCAACAAGAGCTAGACTCCGTCTCAAAAAAAAAAAAAAGTGTACATGGCATTTATCAGATTCCAGGGGCTGTTTTTTTTGTTTTTTGTTTGTTTGTTTGTTTGTTTGTTTTGAGACAGAGTCTCACTCTGTCACCCAGGCTGGAGTGCAGTGGCACGATCTCGGCTCACTGCAACCTCTGCCTCCCAGGTTCAAGTGATTCTCCTGCCTCAGCCTCCTGAGTAGCTGGGATTAACCACGCCCAGCTAATTTTTGTATTTTTAGTATAGACGAGGTTTCACCACGTTGACCAGGCTGGTCTCAATCTCCTGACCTCAGGTGATCCACCCACCTCAGCCTCCCAAAGTGCTGGGATTACAGGCGTGAGGCACCGAGGCTGGCATTTTTTTTTTTTTTTTTTTTTTTTGAGACAGAGTCTTACTCTGTCACTCAGGCTGGAGTGCAATGATGCAATCTCGGCTCACTGCAATCTCCACTTCCTGGTTCAAATGATTCTCCTGCCTCAGCCTCCTGAATAGCTGGTATTACAGGCATGCGCCACCGCACCCGGCTAATTTTTGTATTTTTACTAGAGACGGGGTTTCACCATGTTGGCCAAGCTGGTCTCAAACTCCTGACCTTGTGATCCACCCCCCTTGGCCTCCCAAAGTGCTGGGATTACAGGCGTGAGCCACCGCACTCCAGGGCTGTTGTATATGCTTACTAATGTCAACTCATTTAATCCAGATGGCAATCTCAGGTCAGCACTCACTATCCTTGTCTTACAGATGGGAAAACTGAGGGCTAGAAAGGTTAAATAGCCTTCCCAAAGTCTGTCAAAGTCAGAGTAGGGCTTGGAACCCAAACCTGGCTTTAAAGGCAAGGCATTAAAGCACAGTACTTGACTCTCTCCCAGCATATCTTCCCTACAACAATCTGTGGGGCCTGAATATGAAGTCTTGCTTTGAGGCACTTAGAAAAGCCAGGCAGAGTGTGTGGAGGCTTTATGCTACATCTGAAGCTTAGCACCAGCTGCCTGGGGCCTGGCCCTTGCAGACTTGTGATGTGTGACCTGTAGACCTCAATTTACCAAAATCCAGGAATATTATTATGGCACACTGAACAACAGACTCCTATCCCCACAGAGGCTTCCTGGATGCACATTGGGCCCCAGGGTTCCCCAGGAGACCCCAGCCCCCTGTGTAGCCCATCAGCCAGAGAACTCACCCCCATTATCACACACAGCTGTTTCTCCATCCCACATGCCGTTGGGGCGACACTGACGCACAGGCGAGCCCCGCAATATGAAGCCATCCTCACACTCGAAGCTCACATTGCCACCCACGGGATAGGACCCCAGCCGTGGGGTATAAATGCCATTCTCAAAGGAGACAGGGGCTGGACAGCGCACAGCTGGAGAGAGAGGAAGTGGGTGGGGAATATAGGACTGGATGGATAACACCTGGGCTGGGGATTAAGCAGGTGATTTTATGCTGGAATGCATGGGAATGGTCAACTGGCTGTCAAAACACTGAAATATTAGGTTGCAACATGTGAAATTGCTGTTTTTGGCAACTGATTGAATATTGCCAATTTCACAGAGTCTAAGCGAACTGATTGATAAATAGCCACTTCCCTCAGTCTCCTGAGGGCCGTGGCCTCCCCAGACACTCCCCTTGGGATCCTCAGATGTCTAGAGGACTCCAGGACCATTCAGCATCTGTTCTGAATGGTCACTACTAGGCAGTCAATTGTACATAAAAAGTCATCCCTGGCTTTAGTACCCCACAGTCTCCATCAAGACCTGTTCCCAATTCCTTGCTACTGGCAATTGACATTTTCTGGATATTTTGAAAAGCCCTCTGCAAAAGCAACTTTGCCATCTAGTCAGGTTAAGTCCCACCCTGAGCAACTCCTAAACAAAAGTTCTGGGGTGGCCCCTGGTGTACCACCCTGAGCAAAGCCCACAGGGAGCCTCACGTTTGCAGACCGCCTTAGACAGAGACCGGGTGGCTCCTGGGGTCTGCCACTGTCCGCTGCTCTTGCACAGCCGTGATGCTGGGGATGGGTACAGGCCCTGGGGGCAGGAGTAGGTGAGAAGGCTCCCAGGAGCCCAGCCATGGCTGAGGGTGAAGGTGCCACCCGAGATATTCACGTTCTGAGGGCAGGAGGGAGCCGAGTCTGCCAGACCTAGAGCCGTGGGAACAAGGAGACAGCAATGGAGAAAGAAGGAAGACACAGATGAGAAAAGGAAAGCAAAAGAGACTGTTTCACACATGGGAATTCAAGCTGGGAGCACCAACCTCACACACAGGACCCTGACGTTCCCCCTTCCCTGCCTCCTACCTGGGTACAGGAACAGCAGGCAAAAAAGAACCATCAGTGGGCCCATGGTGTCCTCCCTAGGGGCGGCGAGAGGTAGAGAGCCGCGGGAGGGAAAAGGTCATCTGACTTCCCGAAAACTAGAGCTGGGTCAGCAGCTGCTTCATTGCTGCCAGAGAAGAAAAACCAGGGAGTGGCAAGGGGGATGGTCTTCTGTTAGGGAAATAATAAGCAGGGATTGGGGACTGAACTGAAGGGTGAAACCTTTGCCCTGTCTCCCTGATGCTAATATATCTATAGGGTCAATAGATCTCCCCCACAGGCTTTGTGTACTGCCCCCACGCTCCACCCACCCATGCGTGCACATGTGCACCATACACGCATGCTCACAAACACGCAGGCAAACACATATTTGGGCTCGTGTGTGCACACATGCACCTTGCTCTTGTGTGAATAGTCAATAGTCTAAAGCACACAAACCCACAAACCATCCAAGATATTGCAAAATATTTCATTTAAGTAAAGTTTTAGTGTTCTTTTGGGTTGTACCAAGTGGGTTTTACTTCCTGAGAGCCTAGAACAGTTCTGTCTTCTTGAAGATAAACTTCCGAGGGGGGTGAAACTAATTTTTTTAGAACTTCTTGATAAATAGGAAGATTGACAATACTTTTTTATTCCCTACAATCCTTCCCTAGAGATAATCTAGGTGGAAAAAATGAAATCAACACTTAGTTTTGGAGACAGGAAAAATGTTTACAACATTTTTACGGAAAGTCTAGTAGATGAAATTCCCAACTGGCAAAGTAAATACATTTGGGGTTGGTTACTCAAAGGAATAAAACTTTTGCGGGGGCTGGGATATGCCTTTAAATCATAACCTACACTTGTATGAAATGCAGGAAGCAAAGAAACTTGAAGCTAGTGTGTTAGTCTCCCTGACCCACAGAAGTCTTTTCAATACCTTTTTGAACAATGTAGGGTAAAAATAAATAAGACCAATAAAAAAATGAACATGAAACCTCTCTGAAGTGATCATTTAGGTTCGTAAAAACCCTTTTGATTTATAAGTGAGTCCTTAGAGAACTGATTGAACCTAGAAGATGGAGGTTGCAGTGAGCCAAGATTGTGCCACTGCACTCCAGCCTGGGCAACAGAGTAAGACTACATCTCAAAAAGAAAAAAAAAAAATAAGACCGGGCACAGTGACTCACGCCTGTAATCCCAGCATTTTGGGAGGCTGAGGCGGGTGGATCATGAGGTCAGGAATTTGAGACCAGCCCGGCCAACATGGTGAAACCCCGTCTCTACTAAAATTACAAAAAATTAGCCGGGTGTGGTGGCAGGGGCCTGTAATCCCAGCTACTCGGGAGGCTGAGGCAGGAGAATCACTTGAACCCGGGAGGCAGAGGTTGCAGTGAGCCAAGATCATGCCACTGCATTCCAGCCTGGGTGACAAGAGCAAGACTCTGTCTCAAAAAAAAAAAAAAGAGTACACAAATTGAGACTCCCCTTGGACAGGGCTAAGTGCATGAAAATCAGGACATCCTGGTGTTAGGGACTCCAAAGTGGCTGCTGTGGCAGAGCTGCTAGTGCCTCCCCTGCCCCTCAAGTATCTTTTCTCCCTCCTTCCACAGTAAGAGATGGTTAGGGGAACACACAGTCACCCAGCTAAAGACCATATTTCCTAGCTTCCCTTGCAGCTAGGTAGCCAGGTGACTTGGTTCTGGCTAATGGGATGTTAGTAGAACTTATGTATGTCATTTCCAAGTTATGTCCCTAAAATAAAAAGGCAGTGTGCCTTTTCTTTTCATGGGCTGGAATATAAACCTAGCGGAGATCCGTCTTCCACCAGGAGGATGAGGGCAACATGCTGGGGATGACAGAGCAAACAGACAGAGGAGCCTGGGTGTCTGACACAGTGTTGATGTCATACCAGCCCTGCACAGCCACTTAGATTGTTACAAGAGAGAAATAAACTATCGTAAAGGTGGGGGGTATTTAAGGATGTTCACAAATACTGTAGCCTTGTCTTCTTTCAATCACATGGTAGGATAGGATTTCCCCAGCCACTTGTTTTAGCCAATAAGATGTGAGTACAAGTGATATGTATCACTTCCTGATGGAAGCTCAATGTAGTCTTCACCCTGCTCTTCCCCTCTGTATGGTAACGTCTGAGATGGTGGCTGCTCCACCAGCCAAGATCCCTGGGTGATATCGAAAGCACAGTACCAGCCGGGCACAGTGGCTCACACCTGTAATCCCAGCACTTTGGGAGGCCGAGGCAGGGGGATCACCTGAGTTCAGGAGTTAGAGACCAGCCTGACCAACATGGTGAAACCCCATCTCTACTAAAAATACAAAAATTAGCTGGGCGTGGTGGCATACGCCTGTAATCCCAGCTGCTCAGGAGGTTGAGGTAGGAGAATCGCTTGAACCCGGGAGGCAGAGATTGCAGTGAGCCGAGATCACACCACTGCACTTCAGCCTGGGTGACATAGGGAGACTCTGTCTCAAAAAAGAAAAAAAAAGCGCAATACTCGGCTGACTCTCAGTGGATAAGTAATATGACCAAAAAATAAACCTTTGTTATTTTAATTCATTGCATTTCTACTAATGCAGGAAAAAAAGTACCCACCCAATATGTAGGAAATTTAAAAATGATTTATTCTTTCTCATATTGGCCAGAAGGTTCTTCTGCTGATCTTCCATGCAGCGGCAGTCAGCTAGGGGCTGAGTTCAGTTAACAGTAGGACAGCAGGTCCTTCCTCCCTAGCCCTCATAGCATGGCAGTCTCAGGACAACTTCTGAGGAATCCAAAACATAAGCTGCAAGGTCTCTCGAGGCCTAGCCCCAAAAGTCACATAACATCACTTCTGCCACATTCTATTGGTCAAAGCAAATCACAAGGTCAGCCCAGATTTAAGACTGGAGGCATAGAATTTACCTCTTGATAGGAGGGATGGCAAAGTCACACGGCAAAGGGGCAGGCACATCAGAATAGGAGAGACTGATGGCTATATTTTGTAAGCCCTCCTATGGCAACAAATATTTCTAGGTTGTTGGTTACCAGAACGTAATGAAGCCTAACCTGACTGAACATTCAAATCACTAAACTTTGGGTGCCTTTTAAAGCCATCAAACTAATATGTAACAGCTGCCTTCAAAAGAAAGGGCCTTTCTTTCATGAGTTTTTCCCAGTATTTGTTGAGCTACATCAACTTGGCACAGTGTGGCAGAATTCATTCTCTCTTCCTGCTTAAGTAATAAAACTCCCAAGTTTTCTGGGCCCACAGAGTATGTTCTTAAGGAGAAGTGTTTACTCCTCAATGTATAAAACTTCTTCCCTTCCCACCAGCTGGAATGTGGACAGAATGGTGGACTCTGGAACAGCCACCTAGATCACAAAATGGAAGTCACATGTGGATGATGATAAAGAAACAAAATTAAAGAGGCCCTGCTCTCCAATCCTGTAGAGCTAATAGGATTGACCTGGACCACTTATGCTCAGACCATTTAAGCTGCTGTTATTCTAGCTTGGTTATAACAAAGCCAAACCATGTCTAACTGATATACCTAGCAAGAAATCAATGTGAGAGCCAAAGGCAACACTCAGAGAAGTGTGTTTATTAGGATACACGTTAAACTTCTGTAATAAAGAGACCCTAAAATACAGTAACTTAAATAAGATAGAATTTTGCTGCACTTTCAAATAAGAGCCTCAGAGGCCGGGCGCGGTGGTTCACGCCTGTAATCCCAGCACTTTGGGAGGCCGAGGCGGGTGGATCACAAGGTCAGGAGATCGAGACAATCCTGGCTAACACGGTGAAACCCCGTCTCTACTAAAAAATACAAATAATTAGCCGGGCGCGGTGGCAGGCGCCTGTAGTCCCAGCTACTCGGGAGGCTGAGGCAGGAGAATGGCAGGAACCCGGGAGGCAGAGTTTGCAGTGAGCTGAGATCGCGCTACTGCACTCCAGCCTGGGAGACAGAGCGAGACTCCATCTCAAAAAAAATAAATAAATAAGAGCCTCAGAGGCCGGGTGCGGTGGCTTACGCCTGTAATCCCAGCACTTTGGGAGGCCGAGGCGGGCGGATCACGAGGTCAGGAGATCGAGACCATCCTGGCTAACATGGTGAAACCCTGTCTCTACTAAAACTACAAAAAAAAAAAAATTAGCTGGGTGTGGTGGCGGCGCCTGTAGTCCCAGCTACTCGGGAGGCTGAGGCAGGCGAATGGCGTGAACCCGGGAGATGGAGCTTGCAGTGAGCGGAGATCGTGCCACTGCACTCCAGCCTGGGTGACAGAGCAAGACTCCATCTCAACAAAAAAAAAATAAAAACAAAATAAGAGGCTCAGGGTAAGCAGACAAGGCTGAGATGGCGTGTGTGGCCCTGGCTGGCAGAGCTGCTCATCAGCCTCCTTCAGGCCTCCAGCTTCCTTCCATCTGTGGTTCATGCCTTTGGAAATTGTCCTTGTCTGCATGGTTGAAACAGGGTCTCCATCAAGTCTGCCTCCCACCCCACTCTTCCATTCATATTCCATTGGCAAAAAGTCAGTTATAGTCCACTGTCAGCTCTCCAGGAGGCCCAGTCGAATGTGGAAGGACCATGACCTGACCTGTGGGGCTAAAGATGCCAGACCTTTATTCCCCTCGGCACTCCCGATTAGCTTTTCAGTAGACCCCACCAGATGAGGGCGACCTTGGCTTCTCTATTTCTTGTACCATTCAAAAGCCCAGCAAATGTAACCGTGTTTTCACTCCAGGTAGAGGGAAGCAGGTGAATAATATCTAAAAAACAGACATGCCTCTCCTGCCAGCTTCTTCCATCTTGTCCAAATTTCTTCTTATCAATTCTAGGCTTCTAATATCTGCTTCCAAGGGTACAATTCCAAAGAGAAAAAACCAATACCCCAATTCTGTACTTCATCTCCTAGTCAGAGTTGGATTTTTGCTTTTGGTTTTTTTGGTTTTTTGTTTTTGAGACAAAGTCTTGCTTTGTTGCCCAGGCTGGAGTGAAGCAGTACGATCTCGGCTCACTGCAACCTCCACCTCCTGGGTTCAAGGGATTCTCCTGCCTCAGACTCCCAAGTAGCTGGGATTACAGGCATGTGCTACCATGCCCAGCTAATTTTTGTATATTTAGTAGAGATGGGGTTTCACCATGCTGGTCAGGCTGGTCTCAAACTCCTGACCTCAGGTGATCCACCTGCCTCTGCCTCCCAAAGTGCTGGGATTACAGGTGTGAGCCACTGTGCCAGGCCCCCTAATCAGAGTTTAAAAATCAGAAATGATGCTCTGATGGCCTCTCAGGATGCCTTATTCTCCCCTGGAGAGCTCAGCACCTTGCAGCTGAAAATTTCTGAGGAAACGTGGCATATAGCAGAGGCCGACCCCACTCTAGTGGCCAGTCTACTCCTTATCCAGTCTGGCCACTTGGGCATGGACTTCGCGGTCATCCTAGGATCTGCCACCCCTCAACCTTCTATGGCAACTGCAGGTCAACCCCCAAATTGGAAAACTAGTCTGGCTTGGCCTGGTTCACAGCCTTAATGTGTGACTTTAGATGGGGATTCAGCATTGCTCTGCAAGCCTCTTGGTGGTTTTAGTGGATCTGTCCTTGCCCCACCATATCCCTTGGGCCTTATCACTGGGGTGCTCCACTGACTTCCAGCTGCAGCATCTCTGTCTCTACCCAAGGATTGTTTTTGGTGTCCTGCACCATCTGTGCACAGAAAGCTGGAAATGACAGAGAATTAAGGCCTTCAACCAATGACTGATTGGTATAAATACTGGGCTCCCTCACCCTGGACCATGGGATAACTCTGCACCACTCCAGGGTTCCTGAGTGGGATTGACCTCCACTCACCCACAATGGTAAATTTGCCTGATAACACACCCTTCATTGACTGCCTTCCTTCTCTATCACACTCCACTACCCATGTTTCTTGCGATCACCTCCAGAATGCACTGTCTGCACTGGAACCCTTGTCTCCAGGTCTGCTTCTGGGGGAGGAAGACTTCATATTAGCAGGACATAGTGCCAGACAGTATTTTTAAGTCTTAAATGTAGGTGCTCACTTAATCCTCACAGCAAGCTTATGACACAGGTTCTGTTGTTACTCCCACTTTACAGATGAGGGAACTGAGGCACACAAAGGTTAAGTGAGCTGCCCCAGGTTCATACAGGTACTAAGCAGCAGAGCCGGGATTCAAACCCAGGCAGCATGGCTCCTGGGTCCACACTCATAGCCACCAAGTGGTAGTGCCTCTTCCTCACGTCTTCTCTTTAGTGACTGCTGGGAGCTCCTTGCGCATCCCTGAAGTCTACCCCAGCCCCTTGCATTTCCAAGCCCTCTCTCCCCTAGGCTCTTTCCTCTTGGCACCCCCTCTCCCATAACACCTTCTTTTCCATCCTTCTCAAATCCCTCATCTTCCAGACTCCTACAAGACCTGTCCACGCCATTTCCCACCTTCTAGCTACTTGTGCACTTGTCTCAAGCTCCCCAGAGGAAGGATCCAGGAGTTTTTTTTTTAAACAATGAGCTATCCAAGTAAGGTCAAGCCAATGCCCTCCCCCATCCTATTTCCACCCCAAGTAAATAGCATCTTTCAGGTCAGCAACAGAATTGGCTTTGGTTTCTCATCCATTTCTTTTTTAATAAAAATATTTACATTGGGTCAGACCCCACCCATTTCCACACAAAGGCCTCTGCTAAGTTCCTCGGTACACACACCATCCCCCATCCTAGCAGGCACTGCCTACTAACTTTGAAGTGATTGCCCAACTATGATCTTGAGGAATCTCCACATACATCACCCTTAGAGCCTCAGAAAGGGTTTTGCCCTGCCCCATGGGGCTCCTCCCCATGCCCAGGCTCTTCCAGGGCCCTGGGCCTCAGAGGCCACCCTGCAGGCCCAGACACTGGGTTAGACACTGAACCTCCTGTCCTTGTCCATCCATTGCACAAACAATTCCTGAGAATGGAACGAGGAACTAAGGGGTGGGGTAGGGCCTCCCAAGAAACAGAAGGCCTGTCCCTGACCTCCTGTAGGCGCCATATCTCTTTCAGACAAAAACTCAACCTCTAAAGACTCACAGGCCTGGGGTGTACCAGGGTGTCCATCTGCCCACACCGCAGCTCTTACCTCAGCCCTCTGAGGTCTCCACTGTCCTTGGGCTGGTGGGGGGCATGGTGCATGTTATCACCCACTTCTTGCTACCCATCAGGGAAGCTGCCCTGGGTAACCCAGGTAAGAGGGTGGTAAACACAACTCAGGTGCTCAGGGGTCAGCTGAGGATGGGCCAGGGGGAGGGGTGGCCTATGGCTGAATTGCCCTGGCTCCGGTCCTCACCACCCCAACCCCAGCTCTGGGCTTAGCATTGGTGGCAGTGGGGGCCTCACTAGCCTCCTCTGCCCTTTCATTGAAAATTCCTCTCTAATGTTTTCCTTTATCCTGGGGAGTGGGGAGATATTCATCCCCTTCCCAGTTCTGGGTACCAGTACCCTCTTGACAAAAGGATAGCCTGGGGCTCACATGGGAGAATCCTCCTGCCCTCACTCCTCCAGTGCTGCCAAGGGGTGAAGAGGGAACTTGCCCAGTAGAAAGACATACGTTCATGCCTTGCTTTCCTGCCCAACACAAATGAAAGGTTATACCTGAGAAGAGCTCCTCCTGCCCCGTCTCTGGCCCCAGCCCCAGTGTGGTATGAGGAATTCAGGCTTTGACTTAAGACAGCCTGGAACCTCAGGTTTGGCTTGGCAAATTCATTAGCTATTTCGTAGCCTTACTCACCCTGTTTTGTCACCTGTCATCCACAGAACCAACAGCAAAATACACTCCCCTTAAGGTTACCTTTGAGAATTAGGACCATCAAAAGGAGAAGATCGGCTACCCTACAGGTATAAAAGGTACCAGGATATTTGCTTTAGCATTCACTGTTACCAAGAGGAAATGTTTGGAAACTCCCACGTCCATTAATAGGGGACAGACACAGCACATTGTGGTATGGGGACAACTGAATACTACGCAGTCTCTGCAAGCTTAAGGCTTATCTGTGTGTACAGAGCTGAATGTCTCCAGATATATATGTTATATAATATACACTTTTAAACTAGATAGACATTCAGAACTGTATGTATGGGATGCCACCATTTATGCAAAAAAAGGAGGGAAAGAGGATAGTAGCCACATATGCTCTCTGTGTGTATATAATTTCACTGGAAAAGTTTACAAAAAACTGGATAGGAGAGTTGCCTCTGGGGAGAACTGGGGGCTGGAAAATGAGGTGGGAGGTAAAGAAGGCAACTTAATTTTCACCAAATCCCCTTTATTACTCCTTGTAGTTTTCACTGGGTACATATGATACCTATTCAAGGCCAGGCCCAGTGGCTCACGCCTGTAATCCCAGCACTTTGGGTGGCCAAGGCAGGTGGATCACCTGAGGTCAGGAGTTTGAGACCAGCCTGACCAACATGGTGAAATCCCGTCTCTACTAAAAATACAAAAATTAGCCGGGTGTGTTGGCAGGCACTTGTCACCCCACCTACTCAGGAGGCTGAGGCAGGAGAATTGCTTGAACCTGGGAGGCAGAGGTTGCTGTGAGCTGAGATTGCACCACTGCACTCCAACCTGGGCAACAAGAACAAAACTCCGTCTCCAGAAAAAAAAAAAAAAAGAAAAGAAAAGAAAAGAAAAGAAATACCCTACTGGACTATTAACAAGAGACCCTGATACAATCTCTCTGCAGATTAAGTTTTATTTTGTAAAATTTCAAACATATTGTAAAGTAGAGAGAATAGTAAAATGAACTTTCATGTATGTATCCATCATCTAGCTTCAGTTCATAGACGGTCTCGGTTCATAGACGGTCTGGGTTCATGTCTATATACCACCCACCAACCATTCCTTCCAGGAATTTTTTTTTTTTTTTTTTTTTTGAGACAGAGTCTTGCTCTGTCACCCAGGCTGGAGTGCAGTGATGCAATCTCGGCCCACTGCAACCTCTGCCTCCCAGGTTCAAGCCTCCTGAGTAGCTGGGATTACAGGTGCCCGCCACTACACCCAGCTAATTTTTTTGTATTTTTAGTAGAGATGGGGTTTCACCAACTTGGCCAGGCTGGTCTTGAACTCCTGACCTCGTGATCCGCCCACCTCGGCCTCCCAAAGTGCTGGAATTACAGGCGTGAGCCACCGCTCCCAGCCAGGATTTTTTTTTTTTTTTAAGTTAAAGACAGGGTCTCACTGTCACCCAGGCTGGAGTTTAGTGGTGCAATCACAGCTCACTGTAACCACAAACTCCTGGGCTCACATGATCCTCCCACCTCAGCCTTCCAAGAAGCTGGGACAAGAAGCATGCATCACCATGCCCAGCTAATTTATTCATTTATTTACTTTTGTAAAGACAGGGGTCTCAGTATGTTGCCCGGACTGGCCTCAAACTCCTAGCTTCAAGTGATCCTCCTGCCTCAGTCTCCCAAAGTGTTAGGATTACAAGTGTGAGCCACTGTGCCTGGCCTCGAGGAATATTTTTTTTTTGAGATGGGGTCTTGCTTTGTTGCCCAGGCTGGAGTGCAGAGACCTGATCATAGCTCACGGCAGCCTCAAACTCCTGGGCTTCCACAATCCTCCCACCTCAGCCTCCTGAGTAGCTGAGATTACAGGCATATACCATCATACCAGGCTAAGTTTTTTTTAATTGTTTACTTTAATTAGAGATGAGGTCTTGCTATGTTTTCCAGGCTGGTCTTGAACTAGCCTCAAGCAATCCTCCAACCTAGGCCTCCCAAAGTGCTGGGAATTCATTAAAAATTTTTTTACGGAAAAGCTCAAATTTTTCATTTTAAAATATTTCTCTTTTTTCTTTTTTCAGAACATTTCTCACTTACATAAGAGCACATTTTCTTTCTCTTTTTTTCAGATAGAGTCTCTTTGTGTCACCCAGGCTGGAGTGCAATGGCGTGATCTCGGCTCACTGCAACCTCCGCCTCCCGGGTTCAAGCAATTCTCCTGCCTCAGCCTCCCAAGTAGCTGGGATTACAAACGGCTGACACCACGCCCAGCTAATTTTTGCATTTTTAGTAGAGACGGGGTTTCACCATGTTGGCCAGGCTGGTCTCCAACTCCTGGCCTCAGGTGATCCGCCTACCTCAGCCTCCCAAAGTGCTGGGATTACAGGCATGAGCCACCGCGCCTGGCCTTTTTTTCTTTTTTTAAAATTCCAACTTTTATTTTAGATACAGGGGGTACAGGTGCAGGTTTGTTACATGGGTATATTGCACTAGGTAGTCATAGAACCAATTAGGTAATTTTTTAACCCACACTCCCTCCCTCTCTCCCCTTCTAGTAGTCTTCAGTGTCTATTGTTCCTATATTTATGTCCATATGTGCTCAATATTTAGTTCCGTTATAAGTGAGAACATTAGGCATTTGGTTTTCTGTTCCTACGCTAATTCATTTAGGATTCTGTCCTCCAGCTCCATCCATGTTGCTGCAAAGGACATGATTTAATTTTTTTTTTTTATGGCTGCAAAACTATTTATCTTTCACTTCTTGGCTTTTACCAAAATAAAATGTTTCTTTTGAACTATAAATTTATAAAACATCTCATTGTTCTCTGTATCATAATTTTTTTCTTTTTTTTTTTTTTTCTGAGACAGAGTCTCACTCTGTCACCCAGGCTGGAGTGCAGTGGTGCCGTCTTGGCTCACTGCAACCTCCGCCTCCTGGGTTCAAGCGATTCTCCTGCCTCAGCCTCCCAAGTAGCTCGGATTACAGGTGCCCACCAGCACGCCGGCTAATTTTTGTATTTTTAGTAGAGACGAGGTTTCACCATGTTTGCCAGGCTGGTCTCAAATTCATGATCTCAGGTAATCCACCCGCCTCGGCCTCCCAAAGTGCTCAGATTACAGACATGAGCCACCACAGCCAGCCTTTTTTTTTTTTTTTTTTTTTTGTTGAGATGGAGTCTCGCCCTGTCACCCAGGCTGGAGTACAGTGGCGCTATCTCAGCTCACTACAACTCCAGCCTGGGCAAAAGGAGCAAAACTCTGTCTCAAAAAAAAAAAAAAAAGGGGCAGAGAACTAATGCCCAGAGTCAACCTGCAATTATTGCAGAGTGGGAAGCAGTAGACAGATGCTCCTGCCTCCTGTCCTTCAGGTGGAAAGCGTCTGGAGACATTCAGCTCTCTCCTCAGGAGGGCCTGGGGGAATCGAACTCCACTGCACACAACAGTGACATCACTCTTTTTTTTTTTTTTTTTTTGAGACGGAGTCTCACTCTGTTGCCCAGGCTGGAGTGCAATGGTGCAATCTCTGCTCACCGCAACCTCCGCCTCCCAGGTTCAAGCAATTCTCCTGCCTCAGCCTCCCAAATAGCTGGGATGACAGGCACATGCCACCACGCCAGGCTAATTTTTGCAATTTTAGTAGAGACAGGGTTTCGTCGTGTTGGCCAGGCTGGTCTCGAACTCCTGACCTCAGGTGATCCACCCACCTCAGCCTCCCAAAGTGCTGGGATTACAGGCGTGAGCCACCATACCCGGCCAACATCATTCTCTTAAACTGGCCTTTCCTCCTTCAGGATCTCACACTCCCTATAGCCTCGCTTCTGCTTTCTGGGATCACCTAAATTAACTACCTACGGCCAAGTCCTGTCTCAAGCTCTGCTGTCAGGGTCACCAAAATTAAGATCATCCCTTTCCATCCTCCTCTCCCTATAAACTACTGCCCTTCTTCCACAAACTCCTTCCACGCCAGCAAACCCAGACTGTAACATTAACACAGAGTTATAATCCATCCATATACTGGTCTCTCCACATTCCTGGAGCACAAACTGCTAAAGGGTAGGAACGCTGTGACACGTTTGGTTCCCCCACTGTCCAGTGGGAGAGAGATATGTGAGCCAGTCAGCGCTACACCAAGTTGAGGCAGCCATTGAGGCTCTTCATGAATTTTCCCGTTTTCTGCCTTCCAGGCACATGATAGGATGGAATTCCTCAGCCCTCCTGAAGTTAGGCCACTGCAAGAGGCCTAACTGGCTTGCTTTGGCCAGTGAAATAAGAGCAGAAGTCACATGTGTTGTTACTGTCAGGCACAAGTATTTAACTGCCAATGTAACACAAGACACTCCAGCACCCTCTTTTGATGGAGCCTCCTTTGATCTGGATGCCTGAGTGACTATGATGATCAGAGACTCTAACACTCCTACTGACCCAACAGAGAGCAATAGTGAGAAATAAAACTGTTGTGTTAAGCTACTGAGATTCCAGGGTTGTTTGTTACTGCAGCATGATGTAGCCATCCTGACTGATACAAGCTGAGATAGGAGTCCATATAAAGTTCACAGGGACACAAACAGGGGAATATTAGGTCTCTCTAGAAGATCAGAAAGGTTTCATCAATGAACTTGAGATAGCCTTAAAAGATGAGTGTTTACCTGACAAGGAAGAGATGCAAGCATCCAGGTGAGCAATGAAACCCCAGAGCGCATTAAAGGAACTGCAAGTTCAGGACCTTTCAGGGCTGGGGAGGGAAGGAAGGCCACAATGACACTAGACCAGGGAGGAAGGAGAGAATGCCTTATGGAAGAAACAGCATTTACAGCTTGTAAGGCGATTTGCTATATGGAATTTTAGATAAGGAAGTGATATGATTTGATTTGCATTTCAGAAATATTATTCTGGAATCAGTATGTAGGGGCTGGAAGACCAGTTAAGAGACATTTAGAGTCCTGGCAAGACAACAGGGGCTAAAAGCAAGCACAGAAATGAGGAAGGGAAAGCCAGCACCAACGTTGAGGCATAGACCACGGGGCCCCTGAGCCCTCCTCTGACTCTCAGAACACCTGGGTGTCTTATCACATTGCACCATGACTGCTTGTTCATTGTTTTTGTTGTTGTTGTTGTTGTTGTGATGGAGTCTTGCTCTGTCGCCCAGGCTGGAGTGCAGTGGTGTGATCTTGGCTCACTGCAAGCTCCGCCTCCCGGGTTCACGCCATTCTCCTGCCTCAGCCTCCCAAGTAGCTGGGACTACAGGCGCCTGCCACCACGCCTGGCTAATTTTTTTGTATTTTTAGTAGAGACGGGGTTTCACCGTGTTAGCCAGGATGGTCTCCATCTCCTGACCTCGTGATCCACCCGTCTCGGCCTCCCACAGTGCTGGGATTACAGGCGTGAACCACCGCGCCCGGCCGATTGCTTGTTCATTAACTATAGTCTTCTTTTTTTTTTTTGAGACGGAGTCTCACTCTGTTGCCCAGGCTGGAGTGCAGTGGCACGATCTCGGCTCACTGCAACCTCTGCCTCCTAGGTTCAAGCGATTCTTCTGCCTCAGCCTCCCAAGTAGCTGGGACTACAGGCATACACCACTACGCCCAGCTAATTTTTGTATTTTTAGTAGAGATGGGGTTTCACCATATTGGCCAGGCTGGTCTCGAACTCCTGACCTCATGATCCGCCCACCTCGGCCTCCCAAAGTGCTGGGATTACAGGAGTGAGCCACCGCGCCCGGCCACTCAGGCAGGATTTCTATGTGACAGTCTTGAGGCAGAATTCCTTCTCTGGGAAACCTAAGTCTTTGCTCTTTAGGCCACAATATCAAGAGTAATCTCCTGGCTGGGCGTGGTGGCTCACACCTGAAATCCCAGCACTTTGAGAGGCCGAGGCAGGCGGATCACAAGGTCATGAGATTGAGACCATCCTGGCCAACATAGTGAAACACGGTGAATACAAAACTTAACTGGGCGTGTTGGCATGTGCCTGTAATCTCAGCTACTTGGGAGGCTGAGGCAGGACAATCACTTGAACCAGGGAGTCGGATCGCAGGTTGCAGTGAGCCAAGATCGCGCCTGGGTGACAGAGCGAGATTCTGTCTTAAAAAAAAAAGGGCCAGGCACGGTGGCTCATGCCTGTAATCCCAGCACTTCTGGAGGCCAAGGCGGGCAGATCACGAGGTCATGAGTTCAAGACCAGCCTGGCCAACATAGTGAAATCCTGTCTCTACTAAAAATACAAAAATTAGCCGGGTGTGGTGCCTGTAGTCCCAGCTACACGGGAGCCTGAGGCGGGAGAATTGCTTACACCCAGGAGGCGGAGGTTGCAGTGAGCCGAGATCACGCCACTACACTCCAGCCAGGGTGACAGAATGAGACTCCATCTCAAAAAAAAAAGAGTAAACTCCTTTACTTAACGTCAGCTGAGTATAGATGGCAATGTCTTTGCTTCGTTTTATTTTTTTGAGATGGAGTTTCGCTTTTGTTGCCCAGACTTGCCCAGACTGGAGTGCAATGGCACGGTCTCAGCTCACTGTAACCTCTGCCTTCCAGGTTCAAATGATTCTTGTGCCTCAGCCTCCCAACTAGCTGGGATTACAGGTGCCTGCCACCACACCCAGCTAATTTTTGTATTTTTAGTAGAGATAGCGGTTCACCATGTTGGCCAGGCTGGTCGCGAACTCCTCACCTCAGGTGATCTGCCCACCTTGGCCTCCCAAAGTGCTCCAATTACTGGCGTGAGCCACTGTGCCCAGCCAAGATGTCAGTGTTATCTACAAAATGCCCTCACTGAAGTATCCAGACTACAGTCAGGCATGGTGGCATGCTTGTAGTCCCAGATACCCAGGAGGCTGAGGCAGGAGAATCACTTGAGACTGGGAGTTCAAGTTCAGCCTGGAGAACATAGTGAGAGTCTATCTCATTAAGATAAATAATAATGCAAATGTGTATATATACAGTGCCCAAGGGCACCATAGCCTTGCCAAATTGACACATCTTTTTTTTTTTTTTTTTTTTTTTTGTGGAAACAGGGTTTCACCATCTTACCCAGAGTGGTCTTGAAATCCTGGGCTCAAGTAATCCTCCCACCTTGCCCTCCTAAAGTGCTGGGATTACAGGCGTGAGCCACTGCGCTTGGCCTGACACATAAAATTAACCATCACAGAGTCATCAATGTGGTAACCAATCTCTCTTTTTTTTTTTTTTTCTTTTTTGAGATGGAGTCCCGCTCTGTCACTCAGGCTGGAGTGTAGTGATATGATCTCAGCTCACTGCAGCCTCTGCCTCCCAGGTTCAAGCGATTCTCCTGCCTCAGCCTCCTGAGTAGCTGGGATTACAGGCACACACCATTACCCTGGTTAATTTTTTGTATTTTCAGTAGAGACAGGGTTTCACCATGTTGGCCAGACTGGTCTCGAACTCCTGACCTCAGGTGATCCACCTGCCTCAGCCTCCCAAAGTGCTCGGATTACAGGTGTGAGCCACCGTGCCCGGCCTGGTAACCAATCTCTAAAGAGCACATGGTACCACCCAGAGAGAATGAGATAAAGGCCTAGAAGGCCAAAGGCATCAACAGAGGAAAAGGTCAAGACAGGAAAGGAGTGAGGGTTTATAGAACAGACTGAAATTATAGAAGGAAGGGAGCCTGGATACAGGGGTGTCATGGAAACCAGGGAAAAGCAGTGGATCAAACAGTGTGGTCAAGTATGTCACAGACTGCAGAAAGCTCAAGTAAGAGGAGCACTGAATAATATCCATTAAATTTGAAGCCTTTATATCTTTTTTCCCAAGAAGCAACAGTCTCATGGCTGGTGTACAACTGCTTCAGAAAATAGTTTAGCATTAGCAGGGAAGCTGAACAGGTGCAGACCTCAACATCCAGCAACTCCACTCTTACGAATATGTGGATGCTTGCTACTCAGACTGTGGTCCACAGACAGACAGCATCAGCATCAGCAGGAACTTGTAGAAATGCAGAATCTGGCCAGGCACGGTGGCTCAACGCCTGTAATCCCAGCACTTTGGGAGACTGCAGTGGGCGGATCGCTTGAGCCCAGGAGTTAGAGACCAGCCTTGGCAACGTAGTGACCCGGTCTCAAATTGGAAAAAAAAAAAAAAAAAAAGGGCCAGACATGGTGGCTCATGCCTGTAATCTCAGCACTTTGGGAGGCTGAGGCGGGCAAATCACCTGAGGTCAGGAGTGCGAGACCAGCTTGGCCAACATGGTGAAACCCCATTTCTACTAAAAATACAAAAATTAGCCAGGCGTGGTGGCATGTGCCTGTAGTCCCAGCTACTTGGGAGGCTGAGGCAGGAGAATTGCTTGAACCCGGGAGGCGGAGGCTGCAGTGTGCCACTGCACTCCAGCCTGGGCAACAGAGCGAGACTCTGTCTCAAAAAAAAAAGAGAGAGAAAAAAAAAAAAAGAAAGAAACACAGAATCTCAGGCCCCACCCAGACCTACTGACTCAGACTCCGAATTAAAACTCCAGATGACTCATGTGCATGCTGATTTCAAGAAGCATGTAATCTTCAAACCCTTTTGCTCACATTAAAAGAATTTTGCAAATTATGTACCCCTTGCATGTTTTTATGCTGCTATCTAAAACTTTCCCCAAATGTTTAGTTGCAAAAGAATGCCATTCCAGTGTGTTGTAAACATGGATCTTTTTTAAAAAGTCTTATTTCACTTTTTAACCATTCCCTTCATGATTCATTTTATTTTTTTTTTTATGTATTTATTTGTTTATTTTTTGAGACAAGAGTCTCCCTCTGTCTCCTAGGCTGGAGTGCAGTGGCGCCATCTCGGCTCACTGCAACCTCCGCCTCCCAGGTTCCAGCAATTCTCCTGCCTCCACCTCTCGAGTAGCTGGGACTACAGGTGCCTGCCACCACGTCTGGCTAATTTTCGTATTTTTAGTAGAGACGGGGTTTCACCTTGTTGCTCAGGCTGGTCTCGAACTCCTGACTTCAGGTGATCCACCCGCTTTGGTCTCCCAAAGTGCTGGGATTACAGGCATGAGCCACCACACCCAGCCCAATTCATTTTATTTATTTATTTTTTATTTTATTTTTAAGATGGAAGCTTGCTCTGTCACCCAGGCTGGAGTGCAGTGGCACGATCTCGGCTCACTGCAACCTCTGCCTCCCGGGTTCAAGAGATTATCCTGCCTCAGCCTCCCGAGTAGCTGGGATTACAGGCATGCGCCACCACGCCTGGCTAATTTTTGTATTTTTAGTAGAGATGGGGTTTCATCATGTTGGCCAGGCTGGTCTTGAACTCCTGACCTCAAGTGATTCATCTGCCTCAGCCTCCCAAAGTGCTGGGATTACAGGCGTGGGCCACCGTGCTGGGCTCATGATTCATTTTTAAAGTACATGATTATAATCTTCTTTAACAGTCAGAAATTTCACATTGTTCTATTTCTTCTGAATTCTTATTTTCATAGTTCTATTTCTACCCCCAAGACATTATCCTAATGTAATACATTTTGTGCTTGAAAGCCTTCTAAGCCTGAGCAACATGGCAAAACCCTGTCTCTACAACAAATAACAAAAATTAGCTGGGTGTGGTGGCGTGTGCCTGTAGTCCTAGCTACTCTGGAGGCTGAGGTGGGAGGATCACCTGTTCCTGGGGAGGTCAAGCCTGCAGTGAGTCATGATTGTGCATTCCAGCCTGGGCAACAGAGTGAGACCTTGTCAAAAAAAAAAAAATGAGCAAAGGACTTGAATAGATATTTCTCCAGAGAAGACACACAAATGGCCAACAAGGACATGAAAAGATGCTCAACATCATTAGTCATTAAGTAAATGAAAATAAAACTATAATGAGTACAACTTCATATCAACTAGAATGTCTATTTAAAAAAAAAAACAAGCCAGGCGCGGTGGCTCACGTCTGTAATCCCAGCACTTTGGGAGGCTGAGGTGGGCGGATCACAAGGTCAGGAGTTCGAGACCAGCCTGGCCAATATGGTGAAACCCCATCTCTACTATAAATACAAAAATTAGCCAGGCGTGGTGGCGCGTGACTGTAGTCCCAGCTACTCAGGAGGCTGAGGCAGGAGAATCCCTTGAACCCGGGAGGCAGAGGTTGCAGTGAGCCAAGATCGCACCACTGTACTCTAGCCGGGGCAACAGAGTGAGACGCTGTCTCAAAAAAAAACAAAAAACAAAAAAAAACAGAAAATAACAACTGTTGGCAAGGATATGGAGAAATTGAAGCTTGTGTACAATCTCCTGGTGGGAACATAAAATGGTGCAGCTGCTGTGGAAAACAGTTTGGCAGTTCCTCAAAAGGTTTAACATATAGGGTGGGCACAGTGGCTCACGCCTGTGATCCCAGGCTGAGAGGAATTTGGGAAGCTAAGGCTGGAGGATCGCTTGAGCCTAGCAGTTCGAGACCAGCCTGGGAAACACAGCAAGACTTCATCTCTACAAAAAAAAAAAAAGAGGTGGGCGGGGGAGCAAATGCCATGGCTCACGCCTATAATCTCAACAATTTGGGAGGCCAAGGCAGGCGGATCCCTTGAGCTCAGGAGTTCCAGACCAGCCTGAGCAACATGGTGAAACCCTGTTTCTACAAAAATGCAAAAATTAGCCAGGCATGGTGGTGCATACCTGTAGTCCTAGCTACTCGGGAGGCTAAGGCGGGAGGCTAAGCCTGGGAGGTGGAGGTTGCAGTGAGCCAAGATCACACCACTGCATTCCAGTCTGGTCAACAGAGATCCTGTCTAAAAAAAAATAATAATAATAATACGTTAAAAATTTAACATATAATTGCCATATAATCCAACAGTTCCACTCCTAGGTATATATCCAAAAGAACTGTAAATAGGTATACAAACAAATTCTAGTATAAGCATCCAATTAAAAGACAATGAATGAATTACAGCTACACAAGTCAACAAAACCATAATGTTGAGTGAAAAGGCCAGCCCCAGAACATGTACAGTATGATTCATCTGTGTGATGGTCAAACAGACAAAACTAAACTGTCCGGGAAAACCTACAACTGCATAGATACTGAAACTATTACAATAAGCAAATGAAGTATACACGGTCATACCTCAGAGATATTTTGGGCTTCGTTCCAGATCCCCTCAATAAAGCCAGTCATATCAACAACTTTTTGGTTTCCCAGTGCACACAAGTTATGTTTACACTGTACTGTAGTCTATTCAGTGTGCAATAGCATACGTCTAAAAACAATGTATGTAACCTTAATTTTAAAATACTGTATTGCTAAAAAATGCTAACAGTCATCTGAGTCTTTAGTGAGTTGTAACATTTTTGCTGGTGGAGGATTTTATCTTGATATCGATAGCTGCTGACTGATTAGGGTGGTGGTTGCTGAAGGTTGGGATGGCTTTGACAATTTCTTTTTTTCTTTTTTTTTTTTTTGAGATGAAGTCTCATGCTGTCACCCAGGCTGGAGTGGAGTGGTGCAATCTCGGCTCATTACAACCTCCATCTCCTGGGTTCAAGCAATTCTCCTGCCTCAGCCTCCCAAGTGGCTGGGACTACAGGCACCCCCACCACACCCAGCTAATTTTTGTGTTTTTAGTAGAGATTGGGTTTCACCATGTTGGCCCAGGCTGGCCTCGAACTCCTGACCTCAGGTGATCCGCCCACCTCAGCCTCCCAAAGTGCTGGGATTACAGGAGTGAGTCACCCCACCCAGCCAACAATTTCTTAAAATAAGACAACAATGAAATTTGCTGTATCTACTGACTCTAACTTTTATAAAAAGATTTATCTGGGCCGAGCACGGTGGCTCATGCCTGTAGTCTCAACACTTTGGGAGGCCAAGGCAGGAGTATCACTTGAACCCAAGAATTCAAGATCAATGACTGGGCAACACGGGAAGACCCAGTCTTGCCACTTTTAATTAAAAAAAAAAAAAAAATGGCCGGGTGCTGCGGCTCATGCCTGTAATCCCAGCACTTTGGGAGGCTGAGGTGGGCGGATCATGAGGTCAGGAGTTCAAGACCAGCCTGGCCAACATGGTGAAACCCCATCTCTACTAAAAATACAAAACATTAGCTGGGCGTGGTGGCAGACGTCCGTAATCCTAGCTACTCAGGAGGCTGAGGCAGGAGAATTGCTTGAACCTGGGAGGCAGAGGTTGCAGTGAGCTGAGATTGTACCATTGCACTCCAGCCTGGGCAACAAGGGCGAAACTCCATCTCAAAAAAAAAAAAAAAAAAAAAAAAGCCAGAAGTGGTAGCGCACGCCTGTAGTCCCAGCTACTCCAGAGGCTGAGGCAGGAGAATCACTTGAACCTGGTAGGTGGAGGTTGCAGTAAGCCGAGATTGTGCCACTGCACCCCAGCCTGGCGACAGAGCAAGACTCTGTCTAAAAAATAAATAAATAAATTAGTCCAGGAAGGTCGAGGCTGCAGTGAGCCTTCTTTGCACCACTGTACTCCAGCCTGAGCAAAAGAAACCACTTTTTTTTTTTTTTTTTTTTTTTGACAGGGTCTTGCGCCATCACCCAAGCTGGAGTGCAGCAGTGCGAACAAGGCTCACTGCAGCCTTCTCCTCCCTGGGCTGAATCAATCCTCCCACTTCAGCCTGTTGAATAGCTGCGACCACAGGCAACACCACCTCCCACAGCTATTTTTTTTTTTTCTGAGACTGGGTTTTGCCTTGTTGCCCAGGCTGGTTTCAAGTGATCCTCTTCCCTTGGCTTCCCAAAAGTGCTGAGTTTACAGGCGTAAGCCACCACACCCAGCCTTGTACCCTCTTATATTTTTTAAATTTTGAACAAAACTTTACAATTTGAATTTGGAATTGTACTTACACATTTTGAATTTTGAACAAAACTACATTTTGAATTTTGAACTTTGAATTTTGAGTTTGTAAACAAAATTTTACAAACTCTAATGCTTTTATTTTGCTTTTTTTTTTTTTAAGACAGAGTTTCACTCTTGTCACCCAGGCTGGAGTGCAGTGGCGTGATCTCAACTCACTGCAACCTCTGCCTCCCAGGTTCAAGCAATTCTCCTGCGTCAGCCTCCTGAGTAGCTGGGATTACAGGCATGCACCACCACGCCCAGCTAATTTTTTTTGCATTTTCAGTAGAAACGAGGTTTCACCATGTTGGCCAGGCTGTTCTCAAACTTCTGACCTCAAATGATCCGGCCACCTCAGCCTCCCAAAGTGCTGCGATTACAGGTGTGAGCCACTGCACCCGGCCCTACAAACTCTAATTCTTAACTTGACAGCTTTTTGTATTTCTGCTCTCACGAATGACTCCATGAAAAAAATAAAATGAACAATTTTTTTTTTAAACTTGGGATATGGATTAGGTCATTTGCAGGGACACAGGCAGGCCTGGGGAGGACAACCTGATCCAGGCAGGTATCACAGGCCCGAAAGTCAGTTGCTCAAGCAGCAAGGATGACATAGGGTAGCAGAGCAGACTTGGTGAGGCTCAGAGGATAGAATATTTGTCGAGAAGTGGAAGAGTCTTTTTCTGTCTGGAATTCACAAGGTGCTGGGAGAATCTGCCTCCATTTCCCCAGATAGACCTGGATCTGGGCAGAGTCAGCAAGGGTGTGTGGAGGACTTGGACGATGGCAAAGGTGGTGGGCTGCAGGGAGTAAATTCCCTCCGAGGTAGGAGGGGGAGGGAAGAGTTTGTCTGGAGGCAGGTTGAGGCTGGGAGAGGGCTCCGAAGAGCTAGGGATAAGGAGCTCTGAAGAAGGAGGAGGAGCCAGCATTGAGGAGCAGTCAAGGGGGATGGATGGGAGTTCAGAAAAGGTGGTTTTGCAGATGGATGGGAGTGGTGCAGGCACTTTGTTTTCACATGGCTTCTTTCCCCAAGCAGTAAGCCCCTTCCAACATTGCCAAAACATCCTGCAGTTTTTACCAGGGTTCCTGCGCTGAGGGCAGAGCTGAGTGCAGATCAAAGGAGAAAGAGAAAGAAGTTGGAGGTTTTGTTGTAATGTAAGACAGTTTCATCAGCCTATGGATTTAAAAGTCCAGGCTGACTTACCTCTTCCTTTCCTATAGATTGCTCAGGAAATATGGTTATTCTAGTACGTGCTAAGCATCGTTGTAAAAAGTAAGCCCACAGCCTAAAATACTTTGAATGTCTTAGACAAATGTCCAATGTTTGCTACGGTTTTGGATTATCAAGGCCACTCCTTACCTCTATGAGTAGCCAAGGGTAGTGCTCTAAGCTGTGAGCTAGCTTCTCTCAGAGATGCCCACAAACATAAACACCCCTTTTCAAAGTAAGCTGCTATGGACTCATAGGACTGGAAAATACTTCAGAGAGTAATCCCTCCATTTTATTAAAGAGAATACTGAAACCTGGGGAGCCTTGATGACTTCAAGATGGACTGGAACCTGGACCTTTTGTCTCCTAGTTATTCCTTGCATCCCTAGTCAAATTTTATTTCCTTTAAAAAATGTATTTACTTTTATTTATTATTATTTTTGAGACAGGTGTCTCGCTTTGTTGCCCAGGCTGGTCTCAAACTCCCGGCCTTAAGTGATCCTCCCACCTCAGCTTCCCAAAGTGCTGGGATTACAGGCATAAGCCACAGTGCCCAGCCCAGATTTTATTTCTAAAGCTCACTAAGAATCCTAATTTTTTTTTAAAAGACAGGGTCTCATTCTGTTGCCCAGGCTGGAGTACAGTGGCACTATCATGGTTCACTGCAGCCTCAACTGCCTGGGCTTAAGCAGTCCTCCCACCTCAGCCTCTCATGTAACTGGGATCCCAAGCACATACACACCATCATGCCCTGCTAATTTTCTTATTATTTGTAGAGATGGGGTCTTGCTATGTTGCCCAGACTGGTCTCAAACTGCTGGGCTCAAGGGATCCTCCTGCCTCGGCCTCCCAAAGTGCTGGGATTACAGGAATGAACCATTGAGCCTGACCCAAAAATCCTAAAAGTATCTCCTAAATTTATCTGTTCTTGACACCACACCAAGGCATTTGGTACTGCAAGCTAAGGACAGGAAAGCCCCTGGTTTTATACTGGCAGAAGTTGGGGAAGAAGGGACAAGGATCTAGATGATTGTAAACCCCCTGGATGGGATGCATGGGAAATGGCTCCACATCATCTCTCCACCAGACTACATGGAAAAGAGTTTGTGCACCTCTGCTTGTTTTTACGCAGAGTTGTAACTGGGTGGGCTGGACACTTGAAGGATTCATTGGCTGTCAACTCCACCTGCCACCAAGGACTACCTGTCTTGAGCCATGGGCTGAGATTAGGCCCCCTGTCCCATCTACATTCCTAGAAAGGAAAAGTAGCAAGAAAGGGACAAGAAACAAAATTTTACAAACTCTAATTCTTAACTTGACAGCTTTTTGTATTTCTGCTCTCACTGGAATGTGAACTATTCTTCTGAGAAGTTTGGCAATGCGGAAAAGAAGAGATGAGATAGAAAAACAGAATTTTTAAAGTTCTTTTGGGTCAGGCGCAGTGGCTCACGCCTGTAATCCCAACACTTTGGGAGGCTGAGCAAGGTGGATCACCCGAGGTCAGGAGTTCGAGACCAGCCTGGCCAACATGGTGAAACCCCGTCTCTACTAAAAATGCGAAAATTAGCTAGGCATGGTGGCGGGCACCTGTAATCCCAGCTACTTGGGAGGTTGAGGCAGGAGAATCACTTGAACCTGGGAAGCGGAGGTTGCAGTGAGCCAAGATCGTGCTATTGCACTCCAGCCTGGGTGACAAGAGCAAAACTCCAGCTAAATAAATTAATTAATTAATTAAAATAAAATAAAATTCTTTTGAAAATTTCATAGTCCGTTTCCCAGATTAGGAAAAGGAGAACAGAGCTATTGTTTACTCAGCAACTACTGCATGCCAGGCTCATTTAAACCTCACATTAGCCCTGTGAGAGATCAGGGCCTTCAAGATAAAAATGCTTTCAGATGAGCTAAGGATGGGCGGGGGAGACAAAGATAAGGACACTGTGATTCAGAGAATTAAGTAACTTGCCCAGTGGGCCTCATTTGGTACAGGAATAGGGCTTTTATTTTATTTTTTTAATGATTTGCGAATCTGGCAGCCTTCTGAGCCAGAGTAGGCTCAGAAACTCCTAGGAATGTGGCTTTAAGCCTAGGTGCGTCTGACACAAAATCAGGTGTTCTTCCTCAAATCTACAAGGCCTAAATACAAAGAGAGCAGTTTAGAACAGACTCTTAGATTCAACAGAGGGAACTGGGTGCGGGCATACAAATCAGAGAATTTAAAAGAAAAAGGCAAAAAGTCAAGGTACCACCTAAACACTGTCTACGCTGCCTCCACCCTCCTGCCAAACAGCATCCCTTGAGTTCAAGAATTCAGTTTCAGCTCAAGAACAAACTTTTTATGGGTGGATGCTGGCTGAGCCAAAGAGGAATTACTTCAACAATCATTTGTTGCATGACCTTTTTTGGTGTTTTGTTTTGAGAAGGAGTCTTGCTCTGTCGCCCAGGCTGGAGTGCAATGGCGCAATCTAGGCTCACTGCAACCTTCACCTCCCAGGTTCAAGCGATTCTCCTGCCTCAGCCTCCCCAGTAGCTGGGATTACAGGCACCTGCCACCACGTCCAGCTAATTTTTGTATATTTAGTAGAGTCAGGGTTTCACCATGTTGGCCAGGCTGGTCTCGAACTCCTGACCTCAGGTGATCCACCTGCCTCGGCCTCCCACAGTGCTGGGATTACAGGCGTGAGCCACCACACCCTCCCTATTGCATGATTTTTATTTGCAAAACAAAACCCACAACATAATTCCTGCAACCAAGAAGTTTATAGTCTAATGGGGAAACCAGATATTGAACACATAATAAGAAACTTCATCAGAATTGAAATGTAAGGAAAACGCACTAGTCTCCTGAAGGACGTAAAAAAGAAATCCAATTGGCAGGAAACAGTGGCATCTTCACGCGGACTTGGATAGGTGGGGAAGTGGGTGTAGGTACGAGGAAGTGGAAGGGAAGGCACCAGCCTTCAAGACACTCCTAAGTGCTGTCGCTGAAGCTGTGGAGACTATAACTTAGTCTGAGAGAGACAAGAGAAAGAGAAGGCCCGGGCGCAGTGTTGAAGGGAAGTTTTGTTTAGAGCTGGACCTTGTCAGTCTGGAGGAGAGGTGAGGAATAAGGGGGACGGAGCGGTGGAAGATTAGAGTAGAATCATACTAACATAATAAATCACATCATTAAAATTAGTCCTAGGGTTAATTATATACTAAAGGTGAAATGGGCAAGGTCATCGATAGCACAAGCGGAGGGCGACTGCCTTGGCAAGAAGTTGGGATCAATCCTGAGAATGGAGGGGAGGGCGGGTGTGATTTTAAAGGACTGACATGGAGTGGAGGAAAGTTGAGGGCACTGGATCGTCTGGCTTTGTGGAAAGTGAAATCATATTTCAGGCCTGAAGGGCTGAGGCGGTTACTAGCTTTACAAGAGTTGGAAAAGCCTGGGAATGTGTCTGGAGCAACTGTGAGCACACTCAGCAGAGGAGGCAGGCGTGGGTAATAGCTACCAACAGCTCTGTTAGCCACGGGGCGGATGGGGCCCTGAGAGGTGCCACGGATGCACCCAGGGCAGCGCTCGGCACAGCTGGACCGGAGACGCACCACCCCTGGGAGCAGGTGGCAGCGCCCGCAGCCGAGAGAACGGGTGCGCGCGCGCGCTGCGGGATGCGGCGCGGGCGGGGCGCGGGGACGCGGAGCGAGTAGCGCCATGGGCAGCCGGGATTGGGGGGCGGGCCCGAGTGAGCGGGCCTCCGCGCGGCACTTGGCACGCACGCGCAAACTGGCCGCGGGGCTTGGAGGTACAGAGGAGGGGGAGCGAGAAAGAGGGGGGTGTGGAACGTATTTCCGCTCTGGCGGACAAATAATCCCGGCCAAAGAGGAGGCAAGGCCGTCCGGCCCTTTAACCGCGTGGGGGTGCTGGTGAAGAAAGGGGGGTCGGGAAGGGGGGATCCTGCTCCTTTAATTCCCTCCCCTCTTCCTCCTCCCCGAGTCCTAGCCGACGCCGCCGCCGCCGCGCGCGCGGGGCCTGGAACACACGGCACGAGCCGCCCCCGCCCCTCCCCCCTTACGCCCACGCGGAGCCGGCCCCGCGCGCGCGCGCGTGTCCCGTGCATCCCCGCGCCTGCGCGCTGCCCAGGCCCTGCCCGTGTGTGGGGGTCGCTGCCGGCCCCGGGGGGGGGTGGGGAAAATAAGGGATTAAAAAAACAGCGCGCGGAACCGGGCCAGGTGAGAGGAGCGTGCACTCAGGGTCGTGGGGCTGGGGGGGCGTGCCACGGAGCTCTGAGCGTGGGGGCAGGGCGTGCACGGTGCGTGCTGGCGGCGGGGGGGAGGACGTGAAAAGCGCGTGCAAACGTGTAAGGGGGGGGCGGAGGAATGAGGCAGCCGGTAAAGGGGGCGGGGTGAGAAGAGCCTGCAACCGGGGCCACCTTGGAGTCCAGAGCCCCAGGCCTCTGGCCCCCCTTTTTCTCCGTCCTTCCACCGTGGGCGCGCGGGCTCGCCCCATCCTAGCGGGCTGCTGGGCTGGGGGGTGTGGACGCCGCTGCCCCGCCCCCGAGAACCACGCCTCCCTCCTCTCAGAGGGACAGCACCTCCCCAGGGTTGGGGAAACTGAGGAAGAAATCTGAAGACCGGGAGATCGGATGCCGGGGGGCTGGGCAAGAATGGGGGCGAGGGTCCTGGAGCCTTGGCTTCGGAGAGCCAGAGACCTTTGTCTCTGACCGGTTTCCTTCCCAACCAGGGTTGCCCACCCCCGCCACAATGGCCTCTGGGGTGGAAGTCCTGCGCTTCCAGCTGCCCGGCCACGAGGCCGCAACGCTACGGAACATGAACCAGCTCCGGGCAGAGGAGCGGTTCTGCGACGTGACCATTGTGGCCGACAGCCTCAAGTTTCGAGGCCACAAGGTCATCTTGGCCGCCTGCTCACCCTTCCTGCGGGACCAGTTCCTGCTGAACCCCAGCTCGGAGCTGCAGGTCTCCCTGATGCACAGTGCACGCATCGTGGCCGACTTGCTCCTCTCCTGCTACACGGGCGCCTTGGAATTCGCTGTTAGGGACATCGTCAACTACCTTACAGCCGCCTCCTACCTGCAGATGGAGCACGTGGTGGAGAAATGCCGGAATGCCCTCAGCCAGTTCATTGAGCCCAAAATAGGCCTCAAAGAGGATGGGGTCAGTGAGGCTAGCCTTGTGAGCAGCATCAGCGCCACCAAGTCCCTCCTCCCTCCAGCCAGGACCCCAAAGCCAGCCCCGAAGCCCCCACCCCCACCTCCTCTACCCCCTCCACTCCTGCGGCCAGTGAAGCTGGAGTTCCCACTGGATGAAGACTTGGAGCTGAAAGCCGAGGAAGAGGATGAGGATGAGGATGAGGACGTGTCTGACATCTGCATCGTCAAGGTGGAGTCGGCCCTGGAGGTGGCACACCGGCTCAAACCCCCTGGAGGCCTGGGAGGGGGTCTGGGCATTGGAGGCTCCGTGGGTGGCCACCTTGGGGAGCTGGCCCAGAGCAGCGTTCCCCCCAGCACTGTAGCCCCACCGCAGGGTGTGGTGAAGGCCTGCTATAGCCTGTCGGAAGATGCAGAAGGGGAGGGCCTGCTGTTGATTCCCGGAGGCCGGGCCAGCGTGGGGGCCACCTCGGGCCTGGTGGAAGCAGCAGCGGTGGCCATGGCTGCCCGGGGGGCGGGGGGCAGCCTGGGGGCGGGGGGCAGCCGGGGACCCCTGCCTGGGGGCTTCTCAGGTGGAAACCCCTTAAAGAACATCAAGTGCACGAAGTGCCCGGAAGTGTTCCAGGGCGTGGAGAAGCTGGTCTTCCACATGCGGGCGCAGCACTTCATCTTCATGTGCCCTCGCTGTGGCAAGCAGTTCAACCACAGCAGCAACCTCAACCGCCACATGAACGTGCATCGTGGTGTCAAGTCACACTCGTGCGGCATCTGCGGCAAGTGCTTCACACAGAAGTCCACCCTTCACGACCACCTCAACCTGCACTCGGGAGCGCGGCCCTACCGCTGCTCCTACTGCGACGTGCGCTTCGCCCACAAGCCTGCCATTAGGCGGCACCTCAAGGAGCAACACGGCAAGACCACGGCCGAGAACGTGCTGGAGGCCAGTGTGGCCGAGATTAACGTCCTCATCCGCTAGCCGCGCAGGCGTGGAGGCCAGGAGGCTGGGGCCCCTGGGCTGCGTGGAAAAAGGGCTCTTTGGCCCAGGAGAATTGGGGGGTGGGGGGTCTGGGGCAGAAAGGTAAGAGTGGGAGGCTGAGCAGATGCACACATCCTGAGAGAGGGAAGATGATTCCTTGGAGAGACTTGCTCTTGAGAGTGCAAGAATCTGGAGCTGGGAAAAGGGTTCTTGGAGGCCAGGGGAATACGGGGTCCCAGAGAAAGATTTCCTTCTCTTAGAAGTGCATGTATATGTGGAGGGAGGGAAAAGGGTCCTATAGAATGAGGGAAGACAAAAATGTTTTATTCCTGGCTAAGGCTGCCCAGGGGAAGGTTCTGACATTTCTCGAGATAAGAAGGGTTGGGGGGTGGGTGGGAACAGGGAGGGAATTTGGCAGGAGGACATGCTCCTGCTTAGAATAGACCTGGAGTGAGGGAGTGGTAAGGGGAAAAGATTACTGAGTCCCAGAAAAGGAAGTGGGAGACAGTTCTTGCATGCTGGGGAAATGAGACTGCGAGTATGAGGCTTGCTGAAATTTGAGGGAGAACAAAGTAAGACGCCAGGTAAGAGAACGTGGGGTGCGCATCCTGGGTAGATATTGGGAAGTGGGGGTACAATAGCAAGAAACAATGGATAGTCATGGGGGTGGGGGGGATAGGGCACTTAGAAAAGAAAGAACACAAGAAGGGCTGTTGGGAGGGAGGGAGAGGAGTAGAGACATACAGTATTTTTTAAGAAAAAAACATATTTTTTAGGATTTTTTCTGGAGTTTGGGGTTTTAGTTTTTCTGCTTTTGTTTTCCACAAAATAAAAAACAAAAAAAAACTTTTTTTTTTCCTTTACACTCTGGCAACTGCGTGTACATGACTATCCTGCCCTAGACAGCCTCTCCCTGTGATGCTGCGTTCTTAATACCTAGAGGTCACAACTCTGCATATCCCTTGCCTGAAGGAGCCCAGCCCTAAACATGGGAGAGGAGTGTGACAAGTGAGCTCCTCTGGTCAGGGACTCCCCCAAGTCCCCACCCCCAGCCCTCCACCAGTTCTGCAATCTCAACACTTAGCCAGGTACCTCACAGTACAAGTGATTGGCAGTCGTGGGGATGCACATGAACTCTATTTGAGGGACTTAGGATCAGTGCTAGGGATGAGCTACAGGTGGCCAACCTGCCCACGGAAATTGTAAGCAGGAGTCTGTTTGGTCATATTTTGTCTGGGGTAAATAGGTCATGTCTTCAGGAAAGCTAAAAAAAAAAAAAAAAAGCTAAGTTTGGATTAAGGTGCAGGGAAAACTACAATTCCCAGAAAGCTCTGGAATAGTTAACCAAAGAGAACTACAGTTCCCAGAAGGCCTTTAATTGGCCTCAGGTGCCCCACCTGCCTGTGTCAAATACTGCGTGTGAAATCATACAGATCTTTTCCAAACTCGACCAAAACGTAATACCTAAAGGGATGGTACCCTAAATACAGCTATCGAGATTGTCTATCTTGGTGTATATCATTTATACTTAAATTGTCCGCTGGGCTATGACCCACGGAGTACCTGACTGTGCTTATGAAGTGTTCGGCAAAAAAGGTTTACTTACTGCAGTGTCACCAGTCAGTAATGACGTTCGGGCCGCTGGGCTTACCTGGATCCCTAGTGCGTGTGAAGGTGTAACACGCCTGATATAAACAGAAGAGACATTTAGCCACAGGTTTTCAGAAGGGCACGCTGCTCCAGGGGACATGAAGCAGCATGCTAGAACCAGCCAAGAATAAAGGTGTCCTCCGCGTCCCTATCGCCCCTTCGTGCTCGTTAGAAAGAGCAAAAAGGCGAGGCCAAAACTGAGGCCAAGCCTTCTATCTGGTAACCCAAAAACTAGAAAGGCAGAAAAGCAACCAGAGGCGGGAAAAGCCCAACCAGGCCAGAGGAAATACAGCCGCTGCCGAGAGCCGAGAAGTTCAGAAGCTCCGCTTGTTACCTAAAACCAGATGGGGACAGAGACGCCACACCTGGGCCCAGGCGTGTCTCGCCCTCGGTCCCTGCAGAACTGAGGCCAGGAATGACAGGAATTCTCCCTTGCAGCTCCCAGCTTAGGACAGTCACAGCCATCTCCGAGGCCGCTCTCAGGGGAAAATGGCCAAAAAGCATGTAGCGGCTCCTTTAAGGCTCCTCCTCGCCCTCCCTCCCTCGCCCACGTGACCCGGGGCGGCCGCGCGCCGGCTCGGCCCCCAGCGCAAGCGGCGATGGCGGCGGCGGCGGGAGCTGCAGCGGCGGCGGCCGCCGAGGTGCGGAAGGGGAGGGGGAGAGGCGGGTGCATGCCCGCGCGCGCGCCCGGGGGAAGCGCGCGCCCGTGCAATGCTCCGGGGGTGCAACGGGGCCGGGGGGCCCGGGCGGGACTTGCAGCAATCCAGGGGGCCAGCACCGGGGGCGGATGAGGGGACCAGGGTGTGGGAGGTGGGGGGAGTGGGCACGGAGGCGCGCGTGCAGCCGCCGGCTGCCCCTGAGTGGGCGACGGGCGCCGGGGCCCCAGGAGCACGCGTGAGGGGCACGAGGGGCCGTCCACCGGGCTGGGGGGCAGCGGGTGCTGGAGGGGTTGGTGCCCGGGGTCCCCGCGGCCTGGGGGACAAAGGGGGAGCGGCGCGTGCAGCCGGGAGGAGGGGGCGGGGCCGGGGCGCGGAGGCCCCGCCCCCTCCCCCTCCTCTTCTCTCGGCCCCAGAGATGCGGGGTCTACCGAGAGGGAGGGGGTTGATGCGGGCCCGGGGGAGGGGTCGTGCGGCCCCTCCGGGCAGCCGAGGCCGCGGAAGGGGGGGGCCCCACAGAGGAAGAGGTAGGCCCCGGAGCCTACTCTCTCTTCCCAGGGCCCAGGCATCCTGGACCCCCCAACTCTCTACTGGGCTGACCAGCCCTCCTGTCCCTTGTCTCCCCTCCCAGGGGGAGGCCCCCGCTGAGATGGGGGCGCTGCTGCTGGAGAAGGAAACCAGAGGAGCCACCGAGAGAGGTGAGTGCAGCTAAAACGGGCCCCAATTGGACCGTCACCTTCCCTAAACACAGGATCTCCTGAGCCCTTAGCTCTGAACTTTTTCTCTTCCTCTACAGTTCATGGCTCTTTGGGGGACACCCCTCGTAGTGAAGAAACCCTGCCCAAGGCCACCCCCGACTCCCTGGAGCCTGCTGGCCCCTCATCTCCAGCCTCTGTCACTGTCACTGTTGGTGATGAGGGGGCTGACACCCCTGTAGGGGCTACACCACTCATTGGGGATGAATCTGAGAATCTTGAGGGAGATGGGGACCTCCGTGGGGGCCGGATCCTGCTGGGTGAGAGGCTGGGTAGCCTGGGGGGTTGGTGGGAAATTTCTGACTCTTGCCTTCTTTCTTATCTTGCCTTTTGCTTGCTTGTTTTCTAGGCCATGCCACAAAGTCATTCCCCTCTTCCCCCAGCAAGGGGGGTTCCTGTCCTAGCCGGGCCAAGATGTCAATGACAGGGGCGGGAAAATCACCTCCATCTGTCCAGAGTTTGGCTATGAGGCTACTGAGTATGCCAGGAGCCCAGGGAGCTGCAGCAGCAGGGTCTGAACCCCCTCCAGCCACCACGAGCCCAGAGGGACAGCCCAAGGTCCACCGAGCCCGCAAAACCATGTCCAAACCAGGAAATGGACAGGTGAGTGGGATGGGAGAGATGGGATAATCAACCATAAACCTTTGGTGAGCTCTTTTACAGTTTCACTTAAGGCTTCTACTCCATTTACTCATTCACATATTTAAGCAAGGGGCTGCTGTGTGTCAAATATTAGGCTGTGCTTGATCTGTGAACCAACAGACAGGTTCCTCTCTTCCTGCAGTTTACATTCTTGGGTGGTGAAAGTTTGATGTTAAAGAGTCAATTATATAGTTAATGTCTTAATTACTCTTATGATAATGACAAGGTAAGGGAATTTCAAACCACTCTTCCTTTCTACCTCAAAGCAAGCCCTTGGGGAACTCATCTGTCACTGCTCTATTTGTAAAGTTTTTCCTGGGAATCCCAGTGGGAAAGGAGATGAGGGCCACAGAAATAATAGAGGAGGGAAGTGACAAGGGCACCAGAAGCTTTATGACCAAGTTCTAGGGTTCTTGGGTCATACCTATTGTTGACCTAAAGGAAAAAACTGAGGCAAACTTAACATTAAGTAAAGTATATTTGGTCAGGTTTTGAGGACAGCCTTTAGGAGCAAAGATTCAAGTTGCCGTGAAAATACACTCTGATTAGCAGCAGTTATAAGTAGGGGTTTTTTTGTTTGTTTTGTTTTGTTTTTGAAGACAGTTTCACTATGTTGCCCAGGCTGGTCTCAAACTGCTGGGCTTCAGCAATCTTCCTGCCTTGACCTCGCAAAGTGCTGGGATTACAGGTGCAAGCCACCACAACCAGCCCACAAGTAGGTTTTTAAAGGAAAAGAAGATTGGATGACGTGAAGATATTGAAAAAAAACAGGCTGACTCTGGGCACACTGCGTAGGAGTTAGCCCTGCTCTGGAAGGAGCCGCAAAAAGAAAAAAAAAAAGATAAAAATTTTTTAAAAGATTGAAGAAATAACAAAGGAAAAGAAGAGGCAGTTCCTAAATTGTTTACCAGTTTACATTAGAATAACAAGCTATTGATCTGCTATACATTGTTCTTTGTCTCACAGATATTAGGCACATGAAGATAATGGGTGAAGCAGCACCCTAGTCAGGTACAAAATGCCTTTAAGCAGTTGCCTCCAGGCATGGGCCCTAACCGTTCCATGCTGACTTCTCGCTGAGCCTGATCAATTTTGCCTGCTTCACATAGCACAGGTTGCTATGAGCTACCTTTCCTTTCTCACTATGATAAACATTAATTTTTATAGTTGCAATTCATTTTGTAAAGAATAGGGAAGAAAAGGAAAATTGAATTTATAAATTAGGTACAGTGAGAGATTAACAACAATAATAACATAATAGCGTAATCCTAACAGTAGGCCAGGCGTGGCTTGCCTATAATCTCAACACTTTCAGAGGCCAAGGCCGGCAATCACTTGAGGTCAGGAGTTCGAGACCAGCCTGGTAAACATGTCCAAACCCCGTCTCTAACTAAAATAATAATAATAATAATAAATTAGCCAGGTGTGGTGGCGTGCGCCTGTAATCCCAGCTAGTCGAGAGGCTGAGGCAGGAGAATCACTTGCAGTGAGCCAAGATCGCCCCACTGCGGTTCAGCCTGGGCAACAGAGCGAGACTCAAAAAAAATAGCACAATTCTAACAATATGCCACCATCACTGCTGATGAACTGGATAAGAGGGGACTAGTGTCACGTAAAATTTACCATCTAAAAAACAATTTTAGGCCAGGCGCAGTGGCTCACGCCTGTAATCTCAGCACTTTGGAGGCCGAGGCGGGAGGATCACCTGAGGTCAGGAGTTTGAGACCAGCCTGGCCAACATAGTGAAACCCTGTCTCTACTAAAAATACAAAAATTAGGCCAGGCGGGGTGCCTCACGCATGTAATCCCAGCACTTTGGGAGGCCAAGGCAGGTGGATCACCTGAGGTCAGGAGTTCGAGACCAGCCGGACGAACATGGTGAAACCCCATCTCTATTAAAAATACAAAATTAGCCGGGCATGGTGGTACATGCCTGTAACAGTCCGCTACTTGGGAGGCTGAGGCAGGAGAATCGCTTGAATCCAGGAGGCAGAGGTTGTAGTTAGCCGAGATCCTGCCATTGCACTCCAGCCTGGACAACAAGAGCAAAACTCTGTCTCAAAAAAAAAAACAAAACAAAAATTAGCCGGGCGTGGTGGCATGTGCCTGTAGTTCCAGCTACTCAGGAGGCAGAGGTGAGAGAAACGCTTGAACCTGGGAGGTAGAGGCTGCAGTGAACTGAGATTGCGCCACTGCACTCCAGCTTGGGCAACAGAGTGAGACTCCATCTAAAAATTTAAAAATAAAATAAAAAACATTTTTAAGTATATAATTTAATGGTATTAAATACTTTCATCATGTGCAATCATCAGTCACCATAACTCATCTTGTAAAACTGAAACTCTGTACCCATTAAAACATAACTCTCCATTCCCTCCACCCCCTAGCCCCTGGCAAGGACCACTGTCCTTTCTTTCTCTATAAATTTGAGTAAGTACTTTATCTAAGTGTAATCATACAGTATTTATCCTTTTGTGACTGGCTTATTTCACTTAGCATAATGTCCTCAAGGTTCATCTATGTTGTACCATGTCAGAATTTCTTTCCTTTCACCTGGGCAGCATACCAAGACCCCATCTCTAAAAGAAGTTTAAAAGAATGTTTCAAAGGCCAGGCCCAGTGACTCACGCCTGTAATCCCGTACTTTCTGGGGAGGATCACTTGACACCAGGAGTTCAAGACCAGCCTGGGCAACATGGCAAGACCTCTTCTCTACCAAAAAAAAAAATTAAGAAGACATTAGTTAGGCATTGTGACATGTGCCTGTAATCCCAGCTTCCCAGGAAGCTGAGGCAGGAGAATGGCTTGAGTCCAGTTCGAGGCTGAAGTGAGCCATAGTCATGCCACTGCACTCCATCCTGGGTAACAGAATGAGACCTTATCTCTTAAAAAAAGTATATCTTTCCTTTTTATGGCTGAATGTTATTCCATTGTGTATAAATGCCACATTTTGCTTATCCATTCATCTGTCAGTGGCACTTGAGTTGCTTCCGCACCTCAGCTGTTGTAAACAGTCCTGCTGTGTATATGGCCACATATAAAAGGTCTTTTAACTTTATTAAGCTTTGTTTTCTCATCTGTAAAATGGAAAAGGGCCTGCTCTGCATGGTTGCAGAGATGAGTGAGTGTTAGTGTGCTTGACACTCTTCCTCTGAGGAAATAGCACCCGTGGTTGCCAGTTTGTGGCTACTGGAGCCTCACATGGCATTTGGAGGTGTGGCTCACTACCCCACCCCCGCCTGGGGCTCCAGGCTAACCCAGGCAAAACTGTAGGTGCTCTCTGACCCTCAGTGTGCTCCCTCTCGGCCCACAGCCCCCGGTCCCTGAGAAGCGGCCCCCTGAAATACAGCATTTCCGCATGAGTGATGATGTCCACTCACTGGGAAAGGTGACCTCAGGTCAGTCCCATCCCCCACCCCCGGTGACTTGATGTGGTCTGTTCTGAAGGTTTCGGTGATAGGCCCCACACCATTCTCTCTCTTCTTCCAGATCTGGCCAAAAGGAGGAAGCTGAACTCAGGAGGTGGCCTGGTAAGCAGCAGAGGCAGAGCCTCTACCCCTCGGGGGCTGCTCTGAGGGAGGGTCAGAGGTGGGGCTGCATCCCATCCTCAGTAGAAATGCGCAGGGTGTCAGTGGCCTCAATTTTTCTGATCTTTTTCTAGTCGGAGGAGTTAGGTTCTGCCCGGCGTTCAGGAGAAGTGACCCTGACGAAAGGGGACCCCGGGTCCCTGGAGGAGTGGGAGACGGTGGTGGGTGATGACTTCAGTCTCTACTATGATTCCTACTCTGTGGATGAGCGCGTGGACTCCGACAGCAAGGTGAGACAGAGCTGGTCTGCCCTCCCCGCCGGTGCTCCCCCAGGGCTGGGGCTCACTGTCCAGTCCTCCTTGTTCCCTGTTTTTCTGCTTTCTGTCCTTTTTATCTTCTGAATATCCACTAAGTCATTGCCCCATGCTGTCTATAACTCCTTTTTTTTGTGGGGGGAGACGGAATCTCATTCTGTCGCCCAGGCTGGAGCGCAATATCACGATCTGGGCTCACTGCAACCTCTGTCTCCAGGGTTAAAGCAATTCTCCTGCCTCAGCCTCCCGAGTAGCTGGGATTACAGGCACCTGCCACCACGCCCGGCTAATTTTTGTATTTTTAGTAGAGACGGGGTTTCCCTGTGTTGGCCAGGCTGGTCTCTAACTCCTGACCTTAGTTGATCCACCCACCTTGGCCTCCCAAAGTGCTGGGATTACAGCTGTGAGCCACCGCGCCCAGCTGTAACTCATTTTCAATGTGTATTCTGCCCGTTTCATCCACAAAGGTGGCCACCACCCTGCACATGGGATTTAGTATTCTTTTTTTTTTAATCAGCTAATGAAATGACCATTTAACAGACATGTACTGTTTAAAAAAAGAAAACAAAAAAAGAAATGACCAGAAAGCACTTTTTTAAAACATACGTTATGCTGTTTATATAAAATTCAAAAGCATTGCATTGTCATTTATTTGCTTATTTCGTTGCTCTTTGTCTGGTTTTATCTTATATGTTTGCCTACACAGTAGAATGTTTAGTCTCTCTGATTTTGCCTTTTATTTAACATTTTATCATGAAAACTTGCAAGCATAATCAAAAGAGTAGAATAGGGAGCCCCCATGTACCCAATACACAGCTCCAGCCATTATCAGTACACAGTCCATCTTGACCCATCTGTACATCTCCCAGCACACACACCTACTAGGTTATTTTAAAGCAAATCCCAGACCTCATATCATTTTACCTAAACATATATCCATATAGATTTGTAAATATAAGGCCTCTTTTTGTCGTTCAACATCATTACACTACTGTTTTCACACCTAAAAAAACTTACCGATTTCTTAATACCATCAAATATCCTGTCAGTCTTCACATTTCCTCAGCTCTCACAAATGGTTTTTGTCAAGATCCAAATGAGGCCCACACCTTGATTTGATTAACATTTGTCTTAGGTCAGCCAGGCACAGTGGCTCACGCCTGTAATCCCAATACTTTGGGAGGCCAAGGCGGGCAGATCACGTGAGGTTGGGAGTTCGAGACCAGCCTGATCAACATGGAGAAACCCCGTCTCTACTGAAAAAAATACAAAATTAGCTGGACGTAGTGGTACGTGCCTGTAATTCCAGCTACTCGGGAGGCTGAGGCAGGAGAATCGCTTGAACCTGGGAGGTGGAGGTTGCAGTGAGCCAAGATCGTACCATTGCACTCCAGCCTCGGCAACAAGAGCGAAACTCCGTCTCAAAAAAAAAAAAATTTTTTTTTGTCTTAGGTCTCTCTCAGTATTTAGGTTTCCCCATCTTCTTTGTGTTTGTTTGTTTGTTTGTTTTTGTTTTTTGAGATGGAGTCTCACACTGTCACCCAGGCTGGAGTGCAGTGGCGTGATCTTGGCTCACTGCAAGCTCCACCTCCTGAGTTCAAGCAATTCTCCTGCCTCAGTCTCCCAAGTAGCTGGGATTACAGGCACCCACCACCATGCCCAGCTAATTTTTTGTATTTTTAGTAGAGGCAGGGTTTCACTATGTTGGCCAGGCTGGTCTCAAACTCCTGATCTCGTGATCTGCCCACCTCGGCCTCCCAAAGCGCTGGGATTACAGGCGTGAGCCACCACACCTGGCCTGATTTCCTCATCTTCTAAAAAAAAATTTTTTGGCCCAGGCGTGGTGGCTCACGCCTGTAATCCCAGCACTTTGGGAGGCAGGTGGATCACCTGAGGTCAGGAGTTTGAGACCAGCCTAGCCAACATGGTGAAAACACATCTCTAATAAAAATACGAAAATTAGCTGGGTGTGGTGGCGGGTGCCTATAATCCCAGCTACTCAGGAGGCTGAGGCAAGAGAATTGCTTGAATCCAGGAGGTGGAGGTTGCAGTGAGCTGAGATCACACCATTGCAATGCAGCCTGGGCAACAAGAGCAAAACTCAATAAATAAATAAGAAAGATTTTTTTTTTTTGCCATTTATTTGTCAAAGAAACCAGCTCAGTTGTCCTACAGAATTTTTCACATTTAGGAGTTGGCTGATTGGGTGGAGATTGACACATCCTCTCTGCCCATATTTCTTGTAAACTGATAGATCTAGAGGCGGAATCAGCTTCAGGTGCCAAGAAGACTTGACAGTGGGTGCAAGTGCTTCTGGCCACATCACATCAGGATGCATGGAACATCTAATCTGGTCATTTTTCTTGTTAGTGATAAGATTGACCAGTGGGTTCAGGTGATGTCAGCCTGAACCTTTCATATAAAGTTTCTCATGAGCTTTGTGTCTAGTGTTTTTAGCAACCATTGGTGGTCTTGCCTGTTTATGAACATCATAAAAGGGGTATCAAAGTATGTTTATCTTCTGGTACTTGCTTTTTGTTTTTTAACTTAATATCACATTACCAAGATCTGTGCACATTGCTGTCTGTAACTTTTTCACTGCTGTGTAATATTCCATGCACCCTCTCTTTATGTGGCCCTTTGTCTCCTCTGCTACCCACACTTATCCCCAGCAGCCATCCGTGGGTAGTGGCGGGGGGCAATGGTGGTGGTGGTTTTCTTTACTCACCTCATTGTCTGAGTCCTGGGGGTTGGATATGTCTGTTCTGCCTCTCTCCCAGTCTGAAGTTGAAGCTCTAACTGAACAACTAAGTGAAGAGGAGGAGGAGGAAGAGGAGGAAGAAGAAGAAGAGGAAGAGGAGGAGGAAGAGGAAGAAGAAGAGGAAGATGAGGAGTCAGGGAATCAGTCAGATAGGGTAAGAGACGGAGGCTGATATCTCCAGAGGAGTGGGAGACTATGGGGCTGGAGGTCTGGTCCTGAAGGTGTTGGGGGGGCCCCTGGGGGTGAGGGTTCCTAACTCCTCCTCCTCCCCCTTCCCAGAGTGGTTCCAGTGGCCGGCGCAAGGCCAAGAAGAAATGGCGAAAAGACAGCCCATGGGTGAAGCCGTCTCGGAAACGGCGCAAGCGGGAGCCTCCGCGGGCCAAGGAGCCACGAGGTGAGGAGGCTCTGCTGCTTTTGGGTGCCCTCCAGCCCCCGCCCGGCCCCCCAGAGTGTGTGCACGCACACACACGCTCTCGCATGTCCACCTGCATGTACCCACGCGTCCAGGCACCTGTGAGCTCGCACTCTCACTCTCTCTGTCTCTGTGTCAGGAGTGAATGGTGTGGGCTCCTCAGGCCCCAGTGAGTACATGGAGGTCCCTCTGGGGTCCCTGGAGCTGCCCAGCGAGGGGACCCTCTCCCCCAACCACGCTGGTAATTGCCAATTGCCGGGACAGGGAGCCACTAGGGGGCGACCTCAGGGCAGGAGGGAAAGGGAAGGAGGGGAACCACGCCAGAGCCGGGGTGTCCATGGCCAGGCTTTAGGGGTTCTGGGGCATGGCGGGGTGGGGTAGGGAGGGAGTGAGAGGACCCGCCAGGGGTCCCAGTAGGTGAGGTGCAGAGCCTCCCTCAGCTCCTCTTTTCCTCCATCCAAGGGGTGTCCAATGACACATCTTCGCTGGAGACAGAGCGAGGGTTTGAGGAGTTGCCCCTGTGCAGCTGCCGCATGGAGGCACCCAAGATTGACCGCATCAGCGAGAGGGCGGGGCACAAGTGCATGGCCACTGAGAGTGTGGACGGAGAGGTGGGGCCGTGGGCTGGTGGGAGAGGTGCCAGGGCGTCCAGTCCCCGGCCCCAGCCTCACGCTCTCTTCTCACCCATCCTCACTGCGCACAGCTGTCAGGCTGCAATGCCGCCATCCTCAAGCGGGAGACCATGAGGCCATCCAGCCGTGTGGCCCTGATGGTGCTCTGTGAGACCCACCGCGCCCGCATGGTCAAACACCACTGCTGCCCGGGCTGCGGCTACTTCTGCACGGCGGTGAGTGACCAGTGGGGCAGACAGGTAGCATGCCCTGTGGCAGAGGGGGCCCCAGTAACCTGACCATGTTGTTTCCCTGCTCCCAGGGCACCTTCCTGGAGTGCCACCCTGACTTCCGTGTGGCCCACCGCTTCCACAAGGCCTGTGTGTCTCAGCTGAATGGGATGGTCTTCTGTCCCCACTGTGGGGAGGATGCTTCTGAAGCTCAAGAGGTGACCATCCCCCGGGGTGACGGGGTGACCCCACCGGCCGGCACTGCAGCTCCTGCACCCCCACCCCTGTCCCAGGATGTCCCCGGGAGAGCAGACACTTCTCAGCCCAGGTACTGGCCTCCCCCTTCTGTACTGTCTGTTCCCTCCCCCACCCCTATTGCTCCTGGACATGAGCTCCTTCTTCCACAGTGCCCGGATGCGAGGGCATGGGGAACCCCGGCGCCCGCCCTGCGATCCCCTGGCTGACACCATTGACAGCTCAGGGCCCTCCCTGACCCTGCCCAATGGGGGCTGCCTTTCAGCCGTGGGGCTGCCACTGGGGCCAGGCCGGGAGGCCCTGGAAAAGGCCCTGGTCATCCAGGAGTCAGAGAGGTGAGTGGGGAGTTGCTCAGGCACAGCAACTGGGGCTGAGGCCAGAGGAGTGGTGTCGAGGCTGATGCTGGAATCTGAGGAGCTCCCCTTCTCTCCCCGCTCCCGTGCTCCCTTGGCAGGCGGAAGAAGCTCCGTTTCCACCCTCGGCAGTTGTACCTGTCCGTGAAGCAGGGCGAGCTGCAGAAGGTGATCCTGATGCTGTGTGAGTGCCACCCATTCCTTCAGCAGACCTTGACCAAGCTTCATGTATATACCAGGCACTGGGTACAGGGCCAGGAGTACAGTCGTGAAGGACACAGTCCTTGCCCTGAAGGACTTAGTGTGGTGGGGAAAAGACACATGTAACCCATAACGATGGGGATGTGGTGACTCATAGGTGCTGGGTCCTGTTCTGAGTGCTTATACCTGTTAGCCTTGGCTTGCACAGAGAGGTTAGGGACCTTGCACAGTGCACAGTGGTACTGAGAAGCAAGGCAGGGTTTGAATTCAGGCAGAGCTGATGCCTTTGACTCCTTATTCTGATAAATGCTGTGGTGGAGGCAAGCTCGGAGAATGCCAGGAGGGGCCCTGATCCAGCTTGGGGCCCTGAGAAGCCTTCCTGAAAGAAGTGCCACCTGCCCCCTAGCTTGCTTACCACTTGTCCCTCCCTCTCCCGGTGTGGCGGGCTCTCCCCGCAGTGGACAACCTGGACCCCAACTTCCAGAGCGACCAGCAGAGCAAGCGCACGCCCCTGCATGCAGCCGCCCAGAAGGGCTCCGTGGAGATCTGCCATGTGCTGCTGCAGGTCAGCACGGGCCCGGCCCCATGCCTCATTCACCAGGCCCTTAGGCCCCTCCCCTGCCCCATGCCTCCCTGGTGCCAGCCCTCCTGCCCCCTCACAGGCTGGAGCCAACATAAATGCAGTGGACAAACAGCAGCGGACGCCACTGATGGAGGCCGTGGTGAACAACCACCTGGAGGTAGCCCGTTACATGGTGCAGCGTGGTGGCTGTGTCTATAGCAAGGTGTGCGCGCAGGCAGCAGGGCGTGGCCCCCGGAGTCAGGGACCAGGTTTGGGGTGCCAGCCCAAAGGCTCATTTGCCCGTGTCTCCCTCAGGAGGAGGACGGTTCCACCTGCCTCCACCACGCAGCCAAAATCGGGAACTTGGAGATGGTCAGCCTGCTGCTGAGCACAGGACAGGTGGACGTCAACGCCCAGGTCAGCGGCCCACCCAGCCCAGCCCCTCTGGGTCCCTGGTGCCTGGGTTCCTTGGCTTGGCCTCAGGCTTTGGGCCGCCTTTCCTACATCTGACCTCACACTGCTCGTGTCTGTCCTCATTGCTTTCTTCTTCCTCATTTGTATTTCTCTTCATTCTTTTCTTTCTCGTTTCTTTCTCTTTATCAAGTTTCAGAATAATCAGTTCCTGTCTTAATCTCTGAAAGTGTCCAGTGAGGCTTTTTATTAACTCTTGGGTTGTCATACATTGGATGTGTTTTAGTCATTTATTGGCATTCTTCTCAGTCTTTGAATTATTCCATCATTGTCCAGAAGAAGCCCCTTTAAGAGGCCTCTGTGGCTGTGACATGACCCAGTGGCCCAGTGGCCTTTGAGAGCCTCCTGACCTTTCAGCACATTTCCTGCCCCCAACTCAGAATCCACCATTTCTCTAAGAAACTCTGCTTCCTTTATGGGAAACTTTTTTTTTTTTTTTTGAGACGGAGTCTCACTCTGTTGCCCAGGCTGGAGTGCAATGGCGTGATCACAGCTTACTGCAAGCTCCGCCTCCCAGGTTCACGCCATTCTCCTGCCTCAGCCTCCCGAGTAGCTGGGATTACAGGCGCCCACCACCATGCCCGGCTAATTTTTGTATTTTTAGTAGAGACGGGGTTTCACCATATTGGCCAGGCTGATCTTGAACTCCTGACCTCGTGAGCCACAGCGCCCGGCCAGAAGCATTTTTTAGAGAATACAATCTATGTTCCTAGGAGTGTTTATTGTTATTGGGTTGTCGCTGCTTCTAGGACTTTTGAGTGGGCAGACTTAGGAAATTTTTGTTCGTTTTTTCTTTTAAGAGACAGGGTCTTGCTATGTCACCCAGGCTGAAGTACAGTAGCAGTTCACAGACAGTCATAGCTCTCTGCAGCCTCGAAATCCTGGGCTCAAGCAACCCTCCCATCTCAGTCACATGAGTAGCTGGGACTACAGGCATGCACCTCCATGACCAGCTCCTGGCTGTATTTTTTGGAAAGAGAACAATTACTTTATTTTCTCTCTGGCATCAGATGGTAGACGCTACTAGTCCCATTTTTGTTTGTTTGTTTTTTGAGACGGAGTCTTGCTCTGTCGCCCAGGCTGGAGTGCAGTGGCACGATCTTGGCTCACTGCAAGCTCCGCCTCCCGGGTTCACGCCATTCTGCCTCAGCCTCCCTAGTAGCTGGGACTACAGGCGCCTGCCACCACGCCCAGCTAATTTTTTCTATTTTTTAGTAGAGACAGGGTTTCACCGTGTTGGCCACAATGGCCTCCATCTCCTGACCTCGTGATCCGCCCGCCTCGGCCTCCCAAAGTGCTGGGATTACAGGCATGAGCCACCGCGCCCGACCCTACTAGTCCCATTTTTTAGATGAAGAAACTGCGACCCAGAGACGTTAAGTGACTTACCCAGGGTCCCACAGCTTGTGAATGGTGGAGCTGGGATTCACACACACAGCCAATCTTGACCATTTGCTGCTTTGGTGAGCAGGGCCAGCTGCCCCCACCCTCACTCCCTTCCCACCCACAGGACAGTGGGGGGTGGACGCCCATCATCTGGGCTGCAGAGCACAAGCACATCGAGGTGATCCGCATGCTACTGACGCGGGGCGCCGACGTCACCCTCACTGACAACGTGAGTGAGCGTTTGGTTGAGGTAGGGCAGCCCCAGGCCCCTGAGCAAGGTGGAGGCTGGATTCAAGGGCCCAGCTGCCTGCACCTCATCTGTTCCCCTCCTACCTCCACAGGAGGAGAACATCTGCCTGCACTGGGCCTCCTTCACGGGCAGCGCCGCCATCGCCGAAGTCCTTCTGAATGCGCGCTGTGACCTCCATGCTGTCAACTACCATGGGGACACCCCCCTGCACATCGCAGCTCGGGAGAGCTACCATGACTGCGTGCTGTGAGCCCCTGCCCCGCCCTTGATGCCCCTGCCCCCACTTCTTGCAGCCTCAGACCCTGCATTGGGCATCCTGTCCCCTCTTCAGGTTATTCCTGTCACGTGGGGCCAACCCTGAGCTGCGGAACAAAGAGGGGGACACAGCATGGGACCTGACTCCCGAGCGCTCCGACGTGTGGTTTGCGCTTCAACTCAACCGCAAGCTCCGACTTGGGGTGGGAAATCGGGCCATCCGCACAGAGAAGATCATCTGCCGGTGAGCCCTGGGCCCCTCTCTGCACCCAAGACCACCTCCTCCCCACCCATACCCTCCCCAGGCTCCATTGCATCCTCACAACATTCCCCAACCCCTCCCCATGCACCACTGAATCCCCAGAACCACCCACAGGCCCCCTCCCCACTAGGGTTGCCAGATACAGCAAATAAAAATAGAAGACACCCAGTTAAACTGGAATTTCAGATGCACAGATGCATACTTTTTTAGTGTGAGAATGTCCTGTGTAATTTTTGGGACATACTAAAAAGCTATTTCTTGTTTATGTAAAATTCTATGTTAACTCGCTGTCCTGCATCTTACCTGGCAACCTTACTCCCCTGCCCCCAGCCCCAGGAACCTCCCCAACTCTCTTCCTTATACCTGGAGTAGCTCCTCACCCCCTTTTCCAGCTTCCCAGCCCCTTCTTCCCGTCTTCTGCAGGGACGTGGCTCGGGGCTATGAGAACGTGCCCATTCCCTGTGTCAACGGTGTGGATGGGGAGCCCTGCCCTGAGGATTACAAGTACATCTCAGAGAACTGCGAGACGTCCACCATGAACATCGATCGCAACATCACCCACCTGCAGGTGAGTAGGGGGCCCGGGGCCTCCCCAAAAGGACACCGAGAGCTGCCAAGTACAGTTGGACAAGCTTCAAACCAGCAAAGGCACCTGGCCAAGGAAGGGTTGGCTGAAAGGGAGCCCTGGTGTGGGGTCGCATCCCCACCAGGGGAGGGATCCTTTTCCTAGGTCACAGCAAGGTATCATATGAGCTCCCAGTAGCCCTGGGGACACCACCATACTGATTACCCGTCACCCTAGGACCATCACCACCCACTGTTGTAACACATGGACCCCAAAGAAAGGACAGTGGTTAGGGGGTCAGGGGGCATCAAGAGTAGAGGGGCCCAGACCGATCATGGGGTTGAGCTGACCCCTGCCTCCTCGCCCCAGCACTGCACGTGTGTGGACGACTGCTCTAGCTCCAACTGCCTGTGCGGCCAGCTCAGCATCCGGTGCTGGTATGACAAGGTGCGTGCCCCTTGCCTTGGCCACAGACACCCGGCCCCTCCTTCAGAGGAGCCAGCCTCCAATAAACCAGCTCCCTGGGACCATGTCCCTCACCTCCTACCCTGTGGGGGAAGTGACTGAGAGGACTGGGCAAGGCCTGGGAATCCTGGGATGTGGCTGGGACAGCGATGGGCGTGTGCCCAGGTCTATGCAAACCAGGGATGATGCTCCTGCATTTCGTGCTCTCGGATCTCAGAGCCTGTGTGACCTCCCCAACCCCAACTTCCCTGTCTCTGTAGAGTCTTGGGGTTCCTGGGTGGGCAGCTGAGGTGGGCCCCACAGAGAAACCACTATCCTCCCCTCCGCACCCTAGGATGGGCGATTGCTCCAGGAATTTAACAAGATTGAGCCTCCGCTGATTTTCGAGTGTAACCAGGCGTGCTCATGCTGGAGAAACTGCAAGAACCGGGTCGTACAGAGTGGCATCAAGTGAGGCCCTGCTCCACAGCCCACCCTCTCCCCACCTCACCCTTTCCTCCCTGCCCCTGGGGCTTTTCCAGGGCCTCCACCCAACAGCGCCATCTCTCCTACCCCCAGGGTGCGGCTACAGCTCTACCGAACAGCCAAGATGGGCTGGGGGGTCCGCGCCCTGCAGACCATCCCACAGGGGACCTTCATCTGCGAGTAAGTCACCGGGAGCACCTTAACACCTGGTGGGAAGGGGATACATGGCCACTGCTGACTGCCAGGCCTCCCTCTCAGCCATCTGCCCTGATGAGTCACATGTCTCCATCTGGCCACTCTCCAGCCAGCCTCCTCTGACCCCTATTCCTGCAGCTGAGCAGCCAGCCGCCTCTGACCCCCATCCCCCCAGCTGAGAATGGCACCTGCCTCCACTCTGCCCAGACCACAGAGCTTGTCTTCCCTCCCCTCCACCTCCACCCTCTACCTTCCCCTCCACCCCCTCCTCGCCCTTCCTAGCTGGAGAAAGTGCCAGTTTGGGAGACAAACAGACTTGGGTTTGAGCCCCTCTCTGCTTCTGGATGTTCTTGGCCAAGTTACTTAACCTCTTTGAGCCTTATTTTTCTTGTCTGTAGAGTGGAGGTGATAACAGCTACCTATCTGTCCACCTCCTCAGGGGCCTGTCCCTCTCCATCAGTTCTTTCTCTGCCCAGCATCTGTAATCTCCCCCTTTCTCTTGGCTGCCATCCCACAACCCTCAATCTTACTTTAGTCTCCTTTGGCTCTTTTTTTTTTTTTTTTTAATTTATTTTTTGAGACGGAGTTTCACTCTTGTTGCCCAAGCTGGAGTGCAATGGCACAATCTTGGCTCACTGCAGTCTCCACCTCCCAGGTTCAAGCGATTCTCCTGCCTCAGCCTCCCAAGTAGCTGGGATTACAGGTGCGCACCACCACACCCGGCTAATTTTTTGTATTTTTAGTAGAAACGGAGTTTCACCATGTTAGCCAGGCTGGTCTCCAACTCCTGACCTCAGATGATCCGCCCACCTCGGCCTCCCAAAGTGCTGGGATTACAGGCGTGAGCCACCGTGCCTGACCATTCTTTGGCCTTTAAAAAAGATAGTCCTCTAACCATACTTGCCTGTTCAACAGACCATCCAGTTTCTTTCCATCATGTCATCTCTCAACTTCTCTGGCAAGCAGCCCCTTCCTGCTGGGCCTCAGTTTCCCCACCATCCACTCACTGCCTGTCCCTGCCAAAATCGGCCTTTGCCCTTCCCACTCTGCTGAAGCTGTCTCTTGACAGTCACTTCCCACCCACGTCCTCTCCGTGTGTCTGAATCTCCCATGTCTGCTCACCCTCCTTAGATAGCTGGCTCCTCTCCTCCCTCTGGTGTCCAGATATGTGTGGGTGCTCTTGCCCCGAATCATGCCTTGAGTTCCTTGCCACTCCTGTACCTCTGGCTCTTCCTGCAGTCCTGGCCCCTCTCCTGTTCCATATCGCCCATTCCTGCCGGGTGGCTCCTGGAACACAAACCTCTCTGTGTCCAAACCCGAACTTCCCCACCCAGGCCAACTGCCCCTACACATTAATCCCCTTAACCACAGAGCTTGTTGTCTGTCTCTGTGCTGACTGAAGGCTTCCTCTGTCAAGGCTGGAATGCTGCCCTTTCACTTGCCCACCACTGCTGCTCCAGGCCTTCCCTTCCCCACACCTGCCAGCCCTGCCCATTCCAGATTCCACAGGCTTGTGAAGAGAGATGGGGCCTGGAGCCACCTCCTAATAGCCCACACTCACCTTCAGAACCATGGATTCCTGTCCCACAGGTATGTCGGGGAGCTGATCTCTGATGCTGAGGCTGATGTGAGAGAGGATGATTCTTACCTCTTCGACTTAGACAACAAGGTGAGCAGGAGACCCTCCTTACCCTGCTGCTCCCCAGGGCTGGCTTTCAGGAGCCTCTGGGAAGTCAGCAAATGGAAACCTGGGGAGGAGGGACTGGGGAGTCAGTGGGTGGGGAGGGCAAGCAGGGTCGGGGGAGATGTGAAGAGTGCCATCCCCCTGCCCCAGGATGGAGAGGTGTACTGCATAGATGCCCGTTACTATGGCAACATCAGCCGCTTCATCAACCACCTGTGTGACCCCAACATCATTCCCGTCCGGGTCTTCATGCTGCACCAAGACCTGCGATTTCCACGCATCGCCTTCTTCAGTTCCCGAGACATCCGGACTGGGGAGGAGCTAGGGTGAGACTCTAGGGGTCTCTAGGGGCTCTGCCAGGGGGTGGGAGATGCAGCAAACCTGGGACCTGAAGGCTGGCATGTACCTGGTGTCCAGGCATGGAGTAGTGCAGAGCTTCTCAGATTTCAGTGTACATAAGTATTTCCTGGAGGACTTGGGGAAACAGTCCTGTGCCTCCCAGAGAGATTTTGAATCAGTAGGCTTGGGATGGGGCCCAGGATTCTGCATTTCTAACAAGTCCCCAGGCAATGCTGATGCTGAAAGTCCATAGAACATACAAGGGGCTCAGATCCCATCTGGAGAAGATAGGTTGGGTGTCGGGTCCCTCTCAGGGAGCAGGATCCACAGGGTCTTCGGGGTGGGCTCTTGGTGGCTGGGTCCAGGTCCCACAAGCTCCTGTTTTCCTCTGACAGGTTTGACTATGGCGACCGCTTCTGGGACATCAAAAGCAAATATTTCACCTGCCAATGTGGCTCTGAGAAGTGCAAGCACTCAGCCGAAGCCATTGCCCTGGAGCAGAGCCGTCTGGCCCGCCTGGACCCACACCCTGAGCTGCTGCCCGAGCTCGGCTCCCTGCCCCCTGTCAACACATGAGAACGGACCACACCCTCTCTCCCCAGCATGGATGGCCACAGCTCAGCCGCCTCCTCTGCCACCAGCTGCTCGCAGCCCATGCCTGGGGGTGCTGCCATCTTCTCTCCCCACCACCCTTTCACACATTCCTGACCAGAGATCCCAGCCAGGCCCTGGAGGTCTGACAGCCCCTCCCTCCCAGAGCTGGTTCCTCCCTGGGAGGGCAACTTCAGGGCTGGCCACCCCCCGTGTTCCCCATCCTCAGTTGAAGTTTGATGAATTGAAGTCGGGCCTCTATGCCAACTGGTTCCTTTTGTTCTCAATAAATGTTGGGTTTGGTAATAAACTGCGATTTTTGTGTTGGGGTGGGGAGAAAGCATACTTGGCTAGAGGGAATGTGGGTCCAAGGGCCAGAATAGGATGGGAAGCAGGCTGGACAGGTGTGGCTGGTGTGATGGCCGCCCAGTGCGGGGCAGGGAGGTGGGGGGCCACTATGAAGATCCAGTTTCACAGGCACGGTGGCTGACACCTATAATCCCAGCACTTTGGGAGGCCAAGGCAGGCGAATCACCTGAGATCAGGAGTTCAAGACCAGCCTGGCCAACTTGGTGAAACCCCATCTTTCAAAATAGAAAAAATTTGCTGGGCGTGGTGGCAGGCACCTGTAATCCTGGCTACTCCAGAGGCTGAGGCAGGAGAACCGCTTGAAGCCAGGAGGCGGAGGTTGCAGTGAGCCAAGATTGAGTCACTGCACACCAGCCTGGGCAACAAGAGCGAAACTCCATCTCAAAAAGGAAAAAACAGGTCCAATTTCCACACTTTAATCTTTGGCGGGAGCGTGTTGGGAGTGTACGGCAGTTAAGGTAGTTTGCGAGATTATAAAGCGTTTTCTTATCAGAGCATGCCAGGTCGTTCACTGTGGTCCGTAGTGCCCCCAGGAAATAGCCCTGAGCCCCCGTCCCAGGCTCCAGCTCCCCAGCCCGCTGGGCACAAAGTTGAGAAGAAGGAACTAGAGTGTGTCGGGGACCACAGGCGGGGGTGGGGCTGTGACGTGTGGGAGGGCGGGGCGGGCAGCAGGTGAGACGCCAGGTCTCCAGGGCTCCAATCACTCCGGAGACTGAGCCATGGGGGGAAAGCAGCGGGACGAGGATGACGAGGCCTACGGTGAGACTGGGGCGAGGCCCGGGACCCTGTGGAGGGAGGGGAGGACGGGTACTTTGGGAATGGTGTCTGGGGCTGGCTCCAGGGAGAGGAACTAAGGAGAGTACTGTGTCCCTGAGGGGAGGGCCCGGGAACCGGGAGCCATGGAGGGAGGGAGTCAGGGTCCTGGGAGGAGGATGGGGCCCGGGGGCTGGGGCTGTTGCTGGGGAGCCCATGGGGAGTGAAGCTGGGTGCCTCTGAAGAGTTGGGGCTGAGGTCCTTGGGAGGAGGGGGGTATTTCAGGCCTGGACTCTGGGTCCCTAAGGGCAGGGCCCTAGGAAACAAAGCCGAGATGGAAGGTGGCAGGTTGGGGCCCTGAGCAGAATAGGGCTGGATGCTGGGAGTGTCCTGTGCTGCAGAGCCTGCAACCAGTGAGGCCAGGGTCCCTGTAAGGAGGAGGAGGTTCAGCCTGGAGTCTGGGTCTCTGAGGGCGAAAGCTGCTTGTGGCCTGCCGGCTCCCTTGAGGAGTGAGGGGACCCTGAGTGGGCTGGCCTCTGCCTGCCAGGGTCTCTGGGAGAAGTGGCAGAGGGAGTGGGTTCTGCTGGGGGTCCCTGTGAGGAGTTGGGGCTGAGGGTCTTTGTGGAAAGGGGGCTGGGGTCCTGCCTAGGGGTCTCTGTGAGGAGCTAGGAGCAGGAGCTGGTCTTGGGGTACTCTGAGGAATAGGGACAGGGCCCCTGGGGTTCCTGTGAAGGGTGAGGCCTGAGGGGAGAAACAGCAGGGAGCCTGTTTCCAGAATCTGCAAGGAAAAGGGGCTGGGGTTCTGAGGAGAGAGGGAGCTGGGGACTGGCCTCCAGATCCCCACGAGCAGTGAAGGCTGGGGACTCACCTGCGGAGGCCCCCCTGGTCTTCTGGTCTGAAGGGGAAGGAACCCCTATGAGGGACCTTCTCGAGGAGAGGCTTGAGTCCCTTAGGGCCATAGGGGAGCAGGCAGTGAGGACTCCCGAGTAGACTTCCTGGAGCGGCTTCAGGTCAATCATTGTCCATGAGCCATGGAGGGACAGAGTCCAGCGCACCTGGGGAAAGTGGACCCCACCCGCTCCTTCCCAGACTCCTGCCCAGCCCTCGGCTCTCCCTCCTCAGTGCCCACAAGGAACCCTGACTGCCCAGCCCTCCTCCTCCCTGTGTGTGTACTCAGGGAGGACCAGGAACTCAACGTGCCTGCAATCTCTATGGCTGGGCTCAGGTGTCACTCTGACTGCTGGCCCAGAGCCCGGAGCACACTGTGGCCAGGGGACTGAGGTCCCACCAGAGTGAGGATGTACAGGGCCGCTTCCCTCCCCAGGCCCTGCTGGGGTTGACACCTTTGTCTCCAGTTTCTTTCCCCATAGCCTTGAACCAGAGGGTAAGGTAGGGCCTGGGGCAGATAGGGGAAGAGGCCATGACCTCCCTGAGGGGCTGTGGGTCTGTGTGGTCCCTGGGGAGGGATTAGGGAGGAGGCAGGGATGAGAATGAGGGAGTGAGAGCCACTGGGAGTCCCACATCCCAGCTAAAGGGAGACTCAGGAGAACCGTGCCAGGGTAGGGCAGGGGACCAAGGCCATTTCCCAGACTGACTGCCTTGAGATGTGAGCCGGAAACTATAAAGGCCTTCCTTCCCCTCCCCATGGCAGCCTGGGTGGAGCTCCCAGGGAGCTGCTGAGCTGCTGACCAGGCCTGGATCCTACCTTTCCTGCTCCCCAGTTTTCCCCTCCTGCCAGTCCTGCCCTAGCCCATCTCCCTCCAAACACCTGAGGCCTGGGTAGGATCCTGGGGCTAGGAGGACTCAGCAGGACAAGATATGCAGAGAGAGACTCATCCTCCACACCTCTTCTCATGTCCCTCAGGGAAGCCAGTCAAATACGACCCCTCCTTTCGAGGCCCCATCAAGAACAGGTGAGCTCTGGGCACTGCTCCGGGGGCTGGCGGGGGTGGTGGGTGCAGTGTGGAATCCAGTATTTGCTTTGTATTTGCTAAAATATTAGTAGGAAACTTGTGAAAAAGAGAAACTCCTGCCCCAGATGGGTGGTGCCCTGGGGGGATTGTTGTGTCTGGAGCAGGCATCGAGGGCTTCCCAGTTCTGGGGGGATGTTCTGTTTCTTGACTTAAGTGCCGGCTTCACAAGCGAGAGAACTCACCCAGCTGAGCCCTTGCGAGTTGTGTGCTTTTCTGTCTTTTACTTCAGAAGAAAGTTTACCCACCCAGAAAAAGGTTTTCTTTCTTTTTGTGTTTTGGAGATGGGGGTTCACTGCAGGCTCGAACTCCTGTGCTCAAGTGATCCTCCTGCCCTAGCCTTCCGAGTAGCTGGGACTACAGGCATGCACCATCACACCAGGCTAATTTCTTTGAGATGGGATCTCACTATGTTGCCCAGGCTGGTCTCAAACTCCTGGCCTCAAGGGATTGCCCTGCCTCAGCCTCCCAAGTAGCTAGTATTACAGTCGTGAGCCACTGTGCCTGGCTAGGTTTTCTAAATAAAATATTTAAAAAAAATTAGCCGGGCAGTAGTGGCACGCGCCTGTAATCCCAGCTACTCGGGAGGCTAAGGCAGGAGAATTGCTTGAACCCAGGAGGCAGAGGCTGCAGTGAGCCAAGATTGCACCACTGCACTCCAGTCTGTGTGACAGAGTGAGACCCTGTCTCAAAATAAAAAAGTAAAAGCAATAAAAAAATAAAAATAAAGCCTACTGATGCCCATGCTGCAGCATCACCCAACTCTCTAACCCTTAACCCCTCCAGACCATAAGCCCTACCTCCCCAAGTCTCCTTAGCTCAGCCTCCCGTTTCGTTTCTCTCTCAGAAGCTGCACAGATGTCATCTGCTGCGTCCTCTTCCTGCTCTTCATTCTAGGTTACATCGTGGTGGGGATTGTGGGTGAGTTTCCAGCTGCTCAGAGCCAGGGCAGTGGGTGAGGGACAGGAACCCAGGGAGGGACCATTCCCATAACTGCCCCACTAAGTCCCTGCCCTCCAATGACTCATCTGTGCCTCTGTCTGCAGCCTGGTTGTATGGAGACCCCCGGCAAGTCCTCTACCCCAGGAACTCTACTGGGGCCTACTGTGGCATGGGGGAGAACAAGTGAGTACAAAGGCGAGAAGAGGAGTGCAGGAGCGAGGCGAGGTAGGGTGGGCAGGAGACACCCCCCCAACTCAGGCTCCAGACCTGTCCGTGCTCTTCCACAGCCTTTCCCTGCTGTCCCCACCCCACCTCAGCCTCCCTGAATCTGACAACTCCAGGCCACGTTAAGAACCATTGCTGGACAGTTAGCTTCTTGAGTCCCCCCAGAAATGGGAGGCAGTGGAGAGTCGTGTTAAGTGTATGAGTTTTACAGTTCAGAGATTGGTGTTTGGATCCCCAACTGGACCAAGTTTTGGTTGTGTGGCCTTGGACAAGTTACTCAAGCTCTCTGAGCTTTGATTTCCTTATTTGAAATTCAAGGGGAATTCCAGAAGCAATGCCAACAGTCCTCACATACAGATGTCCAATAAATAATAAAACCTCAAATATTTATATAGCATTTACTATGTTCCAGGCAGGCAGTAAACTTTACACACACAAGCGCATTGAAATCTCATGAGGTAGGCACTACTGTTTTATATGGAGTAGAACTAAGACCGAGAACAGGTGACTTGCTCAAGATCATAAAGATGATATGAAGTTGTGGAGCTCCAAGTTCATGCTCTGAGCTATTTGTCAGCTGCTGCAATGGTGACTTACTCTGAGAGATCTTCTAGGCATCTCCCTACCTCCCCAGCTGAGCTAGGGCCAGGAGCTGGGAGGTGACTGGTATGGGCCACGCTGGGCTGGGCCCACTGTATTCTTGAGAAGCCACCCTAGTGGTCCCTCCCCTCCCCCAACACCTGACCAGGCCCTGATGCACATGGTCCCTCCCCTCCCACAGAGATAAGCCGTATCTCCTGTACTTCAACATCTTCAGCTGCATCCTGTCCAGCAACATCATCTCAGTTGCTGAGAACGGCCTACAGTGCCCCACACCCCAGGTCAGAGCCTGGGACCTGCCTCTACCCCAGATCTCACCCAGGGTCTCAGGTTCCAGCCCCTTAGTGTTCTCTCTGCACCCAGGTGTGTGTGTCCTCCTGCCCGGAGGACCCATGGACTGTGGGAAAAAACGAGTTCTCACAGACTGTTGGGGAAGTCTTCTATACAAAAAACAGGAACTTTTGTCTGCCAGGGGTACCCTGGAATATGGTGAATATTGCCCCTAACCTCATCACTGTCGCCCAGAAGGGCCAGGGTGGGCACGAGAGGGAGGGGGAGTTGGGTAGATCATCACCAGGTTGGCTCTCCTGGGGAGTGTGGGACAGGCTGAGCCCCATGGTGGTGGTGAGGGGACCTGCTTCTTCATCCTGCTCTGTGTCTGTGTGTCTGTCCTTTCACTCCTGCCACAGACGGTGATCACAAGCCTGCAACAGGAACTCTGCCCCAGTTTCCTCCTCCCCTCTGCTCCAGGTGAGAAGCACAGATTCCTTCCTCAGACGTCATCTAGTCCAGTGTTTTCATTGCTTGAATGAAGAAATCAGGCCCAGAGAGAGTGAAGTCACATAGCTTGTTGGTGGCAAAATTGGAATTAGCATCAGGTCTTCATTTTGCTCTTTGTTATGTGGCCTTGCAGTCAGACCATCAGTGTTTTGGGGACCTACTATGTGCCAGGTGCTGGGGACAGAGGCAGGGATAACAACTGCTCCCTGCTTCAGCTACATTCTAGGTGAAGAGATTAGAGTTGTTCACAAAGAGACTGTATGAAAATCTCATGAAAACATACATGGGTGAATCTACACACACATTTTTTTTTTTTAGACGGAGTCTTCCTCTGTTGCCCAGGCTGGAGTGCAGTGGCGTGATCTCGGCTCACTGCAACCCCCGCCTCCCGGGTTCAAGCGCTTCTCTGCTTCAGCCTCCCGAGTAGCTGGAATTACAGCACATGGTGCCCGCCACCACGCCCGGCTAATTTTTATTTTTATTTTATTTATTAAATTTATTTATTAAATTTGTATTTTTAGTAGAGACGGGGTTTCACTATCTTGGCCAAGCTGGTCTTGAACTCCTAACTTCGTGATCCACCCACCTCGGCCTCCCAAAGTGCTGGGATTACAGACATGAGCCACCACGCCCAGCCTGCACACATATCATTTTTATATATGCACAGGGAAAAGGCTAGAAGGATATTTGTTCAAATGTTATAAGTGAACGTGGCTGGGTGGTAGGATCACAGTTGAACTTTTTTTCTTTTACAGTATGCTCTTCCTTCCAGTAGCAAATGTCTTTTTTTTTTTTTTAAGAGATGAAGTCTTGCTATGTTGCCCAGGCTGGTCTTGAACTCCTCGATTCAAGCAATCTTCCCACCTCAGCCTCTCAAAGTGCTGGGATTACAGACATGAGCCCCGACACCCAGTTGCAAATGTCATTTTTAATATAAAACAATTTTTAGGCCAGGCATGGTGGCTCATGCTTGTAATCCTAGCACTTTGGGAGGCTGAGGCAGGCAGATCACCTGAGATCAGGAGTTCGAGACCAGCCTGGCCAACATGGCGAAACCCTATCTCTACTAAAAATACAAAACTTAGCTGGGCGTGGTGGCATGCACCTCTTATCCCAGCTACTCAGGAGGCTGAGGCAGGAGAATTGCTTGAATCCGGGTGGCAGAGGTTGCAGTGAGCTTTGCAGTGAGCCAAGATCGCGCCACTGTACTCTAGCCTTGCTGACAGAGCGAGACTCCGTCTCAAACAAAAATTTTAGGCCGGGAGCAGTGGCTCACACCTGTAATCCCAGCACTTTGGGAGGCCGAGGCGGGCGGATCACAAGGTCAGGAGTTCGAGACTAGTCTGGCCAACATGGTGAAACCCCGTCTCTACTAAAAATACAAAAATTAGCCAGGTGTGGTGGTGGGCACCTGAAATCCCAGCTACTCGGGAGGCTGAAGTAGGAGAATTGCTTGAGCCCAGAGGCGGAGTTTACGGTGAGCCGAGATGGTGCCACTGCACTCCAGCCTGGGCAACAGTGAGACTCCATCTCAAAAAAAAAAAAAATTAGACAATTTATAGCATAAGATGAGATATCCAGTTATCAATTTAAGTACAGTAAGGAGTATCTCAAGTGAATACTTCAAAGTCAAGTAGATCTGAATATAAATTCTAGCACTTTCCAGCCCTATGGTCTTGACCCAACTATGCAACCTCTCTGAACCTTGTTTCCTCATCTTTAGAATGTAAATGACAGTGAGGTGCAGTGGCTCATGCCTGTAGTCCCAACTGCTCAGGAGGCTAAGGCGGGAGGATCACTTGAGTCCTGGAGTTGGAGGTTACAGTGAGCTATGATTGTGCCACTGCACTCCAGCCTGGGCAATAGAGTGAGAAACCCTGCCTCTAAAAAATAAATAAGCTAGGTGAGGTGACTCACACCTGTAATCCCAACACTTTGGGGGGCTGAGGTGGGAGGATTGCTTGAGCCCAGGAGTTTGAGGCCAGCCTGGGCAACACAGCAAAACCCCATCTGTACAAAAAATTTAAAAATTAGCCAAGTGTGGTGGTGCACATCTATAGTCCCAGTTGCTTGGGAGGCTAAGTGGGGAGGATCGCTTGAGCCCAGAAGTTCAATGTTGCAGTAAGCTATGATCATGCAGCTGCACTCTAGCCTGGGTGACAGAGCAAGACCTTGACTCAAAAATAAGAAAATAAATAAATAAATAGATAAATAAATGACAAAGCAAGGCTGCCTGGCAAAGTTGTTGCAAGGATGGCAGTAAGTGGCTCTGTAGGCACATAACAGTTGCCAAAGGAGGTGGGGATAAGGTCAGAAGGCTTCCTGGAGGAGGTGAGATGGAGCTGGATTTGAACAGGGAGTCATGGATGGGATTTCTGGTGGAAAGAGAGCCCTGAGAGAGAGGCACAGTAAGAGCAAAGGTACAGAGTAGAAGGGAACATGGGCTGGATTTGCACAGGAGAGCCTGGAAGCCTGGCCAGGGAGTGTGGATGCTGTCTCTGGGGCAGAGCCTCTGGAGATGTCTGAGTCACAAAGGGACCCAGAACCCTGGAGTGATGAAGTCCAGGCAGTGCCACGGTCTCCCTGGCACTCCACTCGGGTGGAGGGTGGATGGAAGGGTGACAGGGTGTTCTAAGAGTTGAGGCCAGCGGAGAGGAGGGTCCAAACCAAGGCACGACAGGGAGGGGAGGCAGGGGATAGACTGGGCTCCACAGGGCAGAAGCCCATTTGTGAAATCAAAAGCAGCCCACTGAGGGATGCAAGGCCCATCACCCTTCCCTCCCCTAAGGGCACTGTGGACTGGGAGGGGGCCAGAGACCCTCCAGGCAGAGCTCCTGGCCCCCAACCCAGCAGCCCGGCTCTCCCTTCCAGCTCTGGGGCGCTGCTTTCCATGGACCAACGTTACTCCACCGGCGCTCCCAGGGATCACCAATGACACCACCATACAGCAGGGGATCAGGTAGGCACCTCCCTCCCCCACATCCTGGCCACACCCCTTCCACCCACAGCCCCATCTGACTCTGTCTCCCCAACAGCGGTCTTATTGACAGCCTCAATGCCCGAGACATCAGTGTTAAGATCTTTGAAGATTTTGCCCAGTCCTGGTATTGGATTCTTGTGTGAGTCACCAGATTCCCCTCCTCTTGTGTCCTTGCCTTCTTCCTCCCTGATCCTCTACCCCCTCGCCCAATGTCTGAAACACAGGCTTTGGACAGAGGAGGAGGAGCCAGAGCTCCGAATGGATTCCAAGACCAACAGGATTTATAAGGAAAAGAGGCCTAATCTGGGGACATTGGGTGGTGTGTGGAAAGGCAGGGAGGGCCTCTGTAAGGGGAAAGATTTGAGGGGCTAGGGCTGAACCTCACTGTCCTCACCCTGCCTACAGTGCCCTGGGGGTGGCTCTGGTCTTGAGCCTACTGTTTATCTTGCTTCTGCGCCTGGTGGCTGGGCCCCTGGTGCTGGTGCTGATCCTGGGAGTGCTGGGCGTGCTGGCATACGGCATCTACTACTGCTGGGAGGAGTACCGAGTGCTGCGGGACAAGGGCGCCTCCATCTCCCAGCTGGGTTTCACCACCAACCTCAGTGCCTACCAGAGCGTGCAGGAGACCTGGCTGGCCGCCCGTGAGTGTCCTGCCCACCCCCAAGCCACCAGCTGCCCAAGGACCGCCCTGGGCCATGCCCGGCCCCAGCCCTGGCCCTGACCTAGGTCTGTCTGCCCCGTCCTCTGCAGTGATCGTGTTGGCGGTGCTTGAAGCCATCCTGCTGCTGATGCTCATCTTCCTGCGGCAGCGGATTCGTATTGCCATCGCCCTCCTGAAGGAGGCCAGCAAGTTAGGGCCTGCCTGGGAGGGAGATGGGGTTGAGGACAGCGTGGACCCAGGAGTGCTAGGGGACCTAGGGGGTGCTAGAGAGGTGGCAGGGAGCCTCAGAGGAGAAGGGAGGAATATAGCACAGTGGTGAACACTGCTGTGGCTTTGCTTCCCCATCTGTAAAATGGGGGTAACAATAATTCCTGCCTTCTAGGGTTGTCTTGAGGATTCAATGAGTGCCTGGAATATGACATAGGCCTTCTAGAGGGGTTGGTGGGAGTGGTGGTGGCTGAGTGGAACGGCAGGAATCCGGGCCAGGAGGGGCAGCAGCTTGCTCCCGATCAGGAACTGCCACACACACCTGCCAAGGGATCACGCTTGGGGGTGATCTTCCCTTACTCCACCCGAAGCTGCCCCAGGTGGCTTCTCTGTGACCCCAGTTTCCTCTAAGGGTCCTGTGAGCCTGATTTATTCAGTTCTGTTTATCCAGTGAGCACCTACAGTATGCCTAGCCCTGCACCAGGCCCTGAGGACACAGATATGAAAGACAATGTCACTAACCCTGTTGGTCCCACCCTGGGGGAGTGGGGCAGGCCCCAGTGAGGGCAGAGGGGTCAGCCCCCCCCTTTTTTTTTTTTTGAGACGGAGTCTCGCTCTGTCGACCAGGCTGGAGTGCAGTGGTGCGATGTCAGCTCACTGCAAACTCCGCCTCCCGGGTTCACGCCATTCTCCTGCCTCAGCCTCCGGAGTAGCTGGCACTACAGGCGCCCGCCACCATGCCCGGCTAATTTTTTGTATTTTTAGTAGAGATGGGGTTTCACCGTGTTAGCCAGCATGGTCTCGATCTCCTGACCTCGTGATCCGCCCGCCTCAGCCTCCCAAAGTGCTGGGATTACAGGCGTGAGCCACTGCGCCCGGCCGGGGTCAGCCCCTTGAGAAGATGGACAGCTGGGGCGGTGCCGGTTAACAGCTTTGTCTCCCTGCAGGGCTGTGGGACAGATGATGTCTACCATGTTCTACCCACTGGTCACCTTTGTCCTCCTCCTCATCTGCATTGCCTACTGGGCCATGACTGCTCTGTATCCTCTGCCCACGCAGCCAGCCACTCTTGGAGTCCTGGGGGGTGATGGAAAACAAAGCAATACTTGCCCTGTAGAGTGCCTTGGTGTCACTGGAAGAGGTGCCCCTTTCTCTGGGCAGACACACCAGCACTGTGCCTGAACAGAGTTGAAAGGGTGCACACAGGCTGAATTTCAGCCCTCTCTGTGCAGCAAACGATCTGCACAAGCACCTAGGAACAGGTCCCTAAGGAGCGAGTGACCTGTGGAGACCTCGTGTGATCATGCTTTCCTTGACTCCCCTCTGGGTACCTGGCTACATCGGGGCAACCCCAGTATGTGCTCTGGGCATCCAACATCAGCTCCCCCGGCTGTGAGAAAGTGCCAATAAATACATCATGCAACCCCACGGTAAGAGGAAGCAGGGGACATGGAGGCGGGACTAGTAGGGGTGAGGGGCTGTAGGGGCCACATTCCTCATTGTGCAGAGAAGACTGAGGCCACAGAGGGCAAGACACTTGTGCAAGGTCACACACTCAACCCCCAGCAGAGCTAGAAGAAACCAGTTCCCAGAATACCTGGTACTCCTGTTGAGCCATCCATCATGTGGGGAGGGAAACTGAGGCTGGGAGAGACAGCCCTGGATACCAGGACTTACTCCACCCCTCCCCAGGACATTGCTCTGACTTGAGGACCATCAACCACTTCACCCTCTGAGTCTCAGCCTACTCCTGTTTGTTTGTTTGTTTGTTTGTTTGTTTGTTTTGAGACAGGGTCTTGCTCTGTTGCCCAGGCTGGAGTGCAGCAGTGCAATCTCAGCTCACTGCAACCTCCATCCCCCAGGCTCAAGCAATCTTCCCACCTCAGCCTCCTGAGCAGCTGGAACTACTAGCGTATGACACCACGCCAGGCTAATTTTAAGCTTTTTGTAGAGGCAAGGTCTTGCTGTGTTACCCGGGCTGGTCTTGAACTCCTGGGGTTGCCCCGATGTAGTCAGGTACCCAAGCAATCCTCTGGCTTAACCTCCCAAAGTACTGGGATTATAGGAGTGAGCCACCACATGCAGCTCCATTCCTCTGTAAAATGAGGATAATTATAATACCCATCCCTGGGGTGGCTGAGAAGATGAAATGACTTTGGGCACATAAAGTGCTTAGTACAATGCCTGGCACCTGATAAGAGCTCAACAACAGGTTGAATTGTATTATATTGTTAAGTCTTACTCCCTTGGAACACAGAGCCCTAGGTAGTAGCCAGGTGGGACTCCCTGCGGGGGACCCGAGAGAGAAGCTGCTTCCAAAATTCCCCTGTGAGGTTCCCCGGGAGTGGCGCTGGGCTGCTGGGAATTTACTCTTCTCAAACCTGTCATATCTTCACCTCGTCTGAGCTGGGAACATGAGCTGTGCTGCAGGCATTAGCCCCACCCCTATTAAAAAGGGGAGGTTTGGCAGGCGCGGTGGCTCATGCCTGTAATCCCAGCACTTAGGAGGCCGAGGTGGGCAGATCACCTGAGGTCAGGAGTTTGAGACCAGCCTGGCCAACATGACAAAAACCTGTCTCCACTAAAAGTACAAAAATTAGCCAGGCATGGTAGCAGGTGCCTGTAATCCCAGCTACTCAGGAGGCTGAGGCAGGAGAATTGCTTGAACTCGGGAGGCGGAGGTTGCAGTGAGCTGAGATCGCGCCATTGCACTGCAGCCTGGGCGGCGAGACTCCGTCTCAAAAAAAAAAAAAAAAAGGTTTATTTACATGTACAGAGGACCCACTATGTGCCAGGCACTGGGTATACAAAGCCCAAAATGATGTGGTTCTTTTTCTTTTTCTTTTTTTTTTCTTTTTTAATGAAAAAAAGGCTGTTACACAGGCTGGAGTGCAGTGATGCGATCATGGCTCACTGAAGCCTTGATCTCCCAGGCTCAAGTGATCTTCTCACCTCAGTCTCCCAAGTAGCTGGGACTACAAACAAGTGCCACCATGCCCGGCTAATTTTTTTTTTTAAGAGATGGCGTTTCACTATGTTGCCCAGGCTGGTCTCAAACAAATGGGCTCAAGCAATTTGCCTGCTTCAGCCTCCAAAAGTGTTGGGATTATACACATGAGCAACTGTGCTGGGTATGACGTGAGTGTTGTTTTCAACTTGCTTGTGATCTAGCAGTAAAGACTGACAGAAGGCCGCGCGCAGTGGCTCACACCTGTAATCCCAGCACTTTGGGAGGCCGAGGCAGGTGAATCATGAGGTCCAGAGTTCGAGACCAACCTGGCCAATATGGTGACAGAGTGAGACTCCATCTCAAAAAAAAAAAAAAGATTTTTTGATTAGCCAGGCATGGTGGCACACACCTGCAGTCCCAGCTACTTGGGAGGTTGAAGCAGGAGGATTGCTTGAACACGGGAGGCAGAGGTTGCAGTGAGCTGAGATTGAGCCACTGTACTCCAGCCTGGGCAACAGAGCGAGACCCTGTGTCAAAAAAAAATTTTTTTGGTTATATTTGCTAGAAAGGGTTGCTTTTTAATTTGTGACTTTTTACTTTTTATTATGGGAATTTTTAAACATATGCAAAAGTAGAGATGATAGCACAGTGAGTTCCCTGTACCCAGATTCCACAACCCTCAACTTTTTGCTATTCTTATTTCATCTATATCCTCACCTATAATTTTTTTTTTTTTTGAGATGGAGTTTTGCTCTTGTCTCCCAGGCTGGAGTGCAGTGGCGCGATCTCGGCCCACTGCAACCTCTGCCTCCTGGGTTCAAGCAATTATCCTGCCTCAGCCTCCTGAATAGCTGGGATAATAGGCGTCTGCCACCACGCCCGGCTAATTTTTTGTATTTTCAGTAGAGATGGGATTTCACCATGTTGGCCAAGCTAGTCTTGAACTCCTGACCTCAGGCGATCCGCCCACCTCGGCCTCCCAAAGTGCTGAGATTACAGGCATAAGCCACTGCACCCGCCTCATAAATTTTTTTTTCTGGAGACTTTTAAGGCAAATTCTGGACATCATGCCATTTCACCTGTACATGCATTGAGATGGATCTCAACAGATAAGAACTGTTTAAAAGCATAGCCACTATATCATTATCACATCTCACAAAATTAACAATAATTCCTTAATATCATCAAATACCCAGCCTGTTCAATTTGCCGGAAAGGGTTTTGGTAGACGTTGCAGAGGCTGCTCTGGAATGGGAATGCTGAGTGAGTGCCTTCCCCTCTGATTGAGACTGAGGGAGCTGATTATGCTTATGCTATAGGCAGACCAAACTGAGTTTGAGCCTGGAGATGGAACTCTCCGACAGAACTTGATTCCCGCAGTCCAGAGAAGCTACTTCCCACCTGTCAACTCTGGGAGGGGCAGGAGCTACTGGGAATGGGACGCCCAGGCTCCATACTGAGGCCCCCGATGCCTGAGCCTACTCTATCCCCGTCTACCCTCCCAGGCCCACCTTGTGAACTCCTCGTGCCCAGGGCTGATGTGCGTCTTCCAGGGCTACTCATCCAAAGGCCTAATCCAACGTTCTGTCTTCAATCTGCAAATCTATGGGGTCCTGGGGCTCTTCTGGACCCTTAACTGGGTACTGGCCCTGGGCCAATGCGTCCTCGCTGGAGCCTTTGCCTCCTTCTACTGGGCCTTCCACAAGCCCCAGGACATCCCTACCTTCCCCTTAATCTCTGCCTTCATCCGCACACTCCGGTAAGGATGGGGCAGGGGCCTGGTCATTGTAGGCACGGGGGCCCCAGGGGTCCTGGAGCTGTCTCTGACTGCATAACACCCTCTGCAGTTACCACACTGGGTCATTGGCATTTGGAGCCCTCATCCTGACCCTTGTGCAGATAGCCCGGGTCATCTTGGAGTATATTGACCACAAGCTCAGAGGTGAGTCTGGAGTCGGAGTAGGAGTCAGGAGCTGGGGAAGGCCATTAGGGAGGGGCAGTGACCAAACATGAGCCTTCCTCGCTCCCAGGAGTGCAGAACCCTGTAGCCCGCTGCATCATGTGCTGTTTCAAGTGCTGCCTCTGGTGTCTGGAAAAATTTATCAAGTTCCTAAACCGCAATGCATACATCATGGTGAGCTACACTGCAAGCAACCCTTTGTTCTGGTGCCCTTTGGTCTAGACACCCCCATCCTGGTCCAGGCAGCTCGCCTTGGTAACTCTGACCTTTCCACCTCCCTCAGATCGCCATCTACGGGAAGAATTTCTGTGTCTCAGCCAAAAATGCGTTCATGCTACTCATGCGAAACATTGTCAGGTTAGGCTGCTCCCCCCCCGCTTTGTGGCTCCCTCCTCTGATCTCCCACCCAAGGCTGGCTTCGTGGGTGTGCTGTGCTCAGTCGGGCCCTAGACTTAGTTTAGTGCTCTGCTCTTGCCATCTTGAAACGTGAACAATTTTCATTTTGCACCAGTCCCCACAAATTACGAAGCCAATTTCACTCTCAGCATTGCCAGGCCTCTCACCCTCAACCTGCCCTAACTTCTGGCACAGGGTGGTCGTCCTGGACAAAGTCACAGACCTGCTGCTGTTCTTTGGGAAGCTGCTGGTGGTCGGAGGCGTGGGTAAGGGACCAGAAGCTGTGGGGACAGAGGGTAGGGGTGCTGGGCAGCTGAAGAGGTGGCCTCAGAGGTGCAGCACTAACCCCCAGAATTATTCCACAGGGGTCCTGTCCTTCTTTTTTTTCTCCGGTCGCATCCCGGGGCTGGGTAAAGACTTTAAGAGCCCCCACCTCAACTATTACTGGCTGCCCATCATGGTGAGTGACTCCCCTCTCTGCTGCTCCACCCCCAACTCCCCAGAGGAACCCAATAACCCCAACGGGTCATGTCTTCCAGACCTCCATCCTGGGGGCCTATGTCATCGCCAGCGGCTTCTTCAGCGTTTTCGGCATGTGTGTGGACACGCTCTTCCTCTGCTTCCGTGAGTGACACCCCCAGCCACCTGTCCCCAACCTTAAAGTACTGAGCCGTTCAAGCATTTTTTTTTTTTTTTTGGAGATTTGGTGCTTCTAGAAACAATGCCTTTGTGAGCTAAACGAACCAGAGGGAGCTTCTTGTGACATCCTGAGGCCAGGCGTTTAGGGAAGAAGGAAGAGAGTGAGCCCCCAGGCCGGTAGGCTCTCCAAAGAAGGAGCATTCTGATGGAGAGGTCTCTGCTATCTTCCCTAAGAAATCTCGGGTAGAAGTTAGCCATTAGAGGCCAGGCATGGTGGCTCACGCCTGTCATGCCAGCACTTTGGGGGACCGAGGTGGGCAGATCACCCTGAGGTCAGGAGTTCGAGACCAGCCTGGCCCACATGGTGAAACCCCTCTCTACTAAAAATACAAAAAATTAGCTGGGCGCGGTGGCGGGCGCCTGTAATCCCAGCCACTTGGGAGGCTGAAGCAGGAGAATCGCTTGAACTCGGGAGGCGGAGGTTGCAGCGAGCCGAGATTGCGCTACTGCACTTCAGCTTGGGCGACAGCAAGACTCCGTCTCAAAACAAAGAAAAAAGATTAAAAAAAAAAAAGAGCCATTAGAGAGACTTCCCAGCAGGTGGCTGTAGCGGCAGGGGATTTTCTTACTCTACAGCATGCATCCATTCAGGGTTTGCCAGTCTCCTCCTAAGCGACTGACATGCATTTTTTCCGCTAATTCTTATCATCGCTCTATGCAACATAATATTCCCGACCCCACTTCACAGGAGGAAACTGAGATTACATAACCTGCCCGGGGGTAAGGGTGGTGGTGCAGCTTGGATTCCAAATCCCGCAGGCAGCTTGCCTCCCAGTCCCCGATTTCCTGGCCCCAGGGTCCGCTCTAACCGGTCTCTGTTGCGGCTCAGTGGAAGACCTGGAGCGGAACAACGGCTCCCTGGACCGGCCCTACTACATGTCCAAGAGCCTTCTAAAGATTCTGGGCAAGAAGAACGAGGCGCCCCCGGACAACAAGAAGAGGAAGAAGTGACAGCTCCGGCCCTGATCCAGGACTGCACCCCACCCCCACCGTCCAGCCATCCAACCTCACTTCGCCTTACAGGTCTCCATTTTGTGGTAAAAAAAGGTTTTAGGCCAGGCGCCGTGGCTCACGCCTGTAATCCAACACTTTGAGAGGCTGAGGCGGGCGGATCACCTGAGTCAGGAGTTCGAGACCAGCCTGGCCAACATGGTGAAACCTCCGTCTCTATTAAAAATACAAAAATTAGCCGAGAGTGGTGGCATGCACCTGTCATCCCAGCTACTCGGGAGGCTGAGGCAGGAGAATCGCTTGAACCCGGGAGGCAGAGGTTGCAGTGAGCCGAGATCGCGCCACTGCACTCCAACCTGGGTGACAGACTCTGTCTCCAAAACAAAACAAACAAACAAAAAGATTTTATTAAAGATATTTTGTTAACTCAGTAAATCTGTGACTCATTCTCTCCACGACGACAGGCGGCCTTTTTTTTTCCGCGCCCGGCTCTTTAAAATCGGCCCCGCCCCTGTGACGTGTCCTGGTGCCGCGGCCAATCAAAAAGCCCAATAAGGATGGTGCCAGTCCCTTCTTCACCCCAGCCAGTCCGCTTCCCGTTCGGGTCACGCGCTCCGGGCCTCCAAGAGGGCCTCCAAGAGGGCCAATCGGAAGGGCAAGCTTCGAGATGCTGCGTGATCACGTGGGAGGAGATGAGCTACTTGAAGACCAATTAGAGTCCGGGAAGCGCGGCGGGGCCTCCAGACCGGGGCGGGCTTAAGGGTGACATCTGCGCTTTAAAGGGTCCGGGTCAGCTGACTCCCGACTCTGTGGAGTCTAGCTGCCAGGGTCGCGGCAGCTGCGGGGAGAGATGACTGGGGAGCGACCCAGCACGGCGCTCCCGGACAGACGCTGGGGGCCGCGGATTCTGGGCTTCTGGGGAGGCTGTAGGGTTTGGGTGTTTGCCGCGATCTTCCTGCTGCTGTCTCTGGCAGCCTCCTGGTCCAAGGCTGAGAACGACTTCGGTCTGGTGAGTCACCCTTTGCATAGCCCCATCCCCGACCCGCGCAGGTGATCGACACCTAGTGTCCCCCGGAACGCGGGCGGCTGAGCCGACTTTCCGCGACAGGACCCTTTTCTTTCTCCCAGACCCCGTTTCCTCCTACCGCTCCCAGCCCCTCTCCCTCTCCGGGTCCCCGTCCTTCTCCTCATTCGAGCCCCTTCCTCTTTTGGGGTCCCCTTCCCTCCCTGAAGGCGCCTTCTCCTTTCGTAGACCCTCCCCTGCTCCGAGCCTCCAGCTTCGCTCCAAACTCCCCTTCGTGTTCCTCTTTCTTGTTCTGGGACCCCATCCCCTACTCGGGATCCCCATTAGATCCTCCCTCTCCCATCGGAACGTGGGTTCCTAAAACCCCCAAGACAAGTTTGTCTTTGTTGACCCTTCCTCCTCCCATGACAGGTGCAGCCGCTGGTGACCATGGAGCAACTGCTGTGGGTGAGCGGGAGACAGATCGGCTCAGTGGACACCTTCCGCATCCCGCTCATCACAGCCACTCCGCGGGGCACTCTTCTCGCCTTTGCTGAGGCGAGGAAAATGTCCTCATCCGATGAGGGGGCCAAGTTCATCGCCCTGCGGAGGTCCATGGACCAGGGTATAAAGATGTCTGGGTGAAAGAGCCGGTGCTAGGTTGGATGGGTGGGCAGCCCAATGAGCCCAAGGGCCCTGAGGATAGGGGAACTTAGAGGGTTGGTTGCCTGAGTCCCTGAGGGGTAGAGGGAACCCGAGAAGGGCAAGTGTCTAGGACAGTGATCTGGAAATTGGGATCACCAAGGAGTTGGACATTCACTTAGCAAACATTTATTGGGTACTATATACCTATACCAGGCACTATTTTAGGTTTCATGAATATAGCCACGAACAAAACAGATCAAAAATCTCTGCCCTCAGGATTTAAATTGTACTGGAAGGAGACAGACAAGCATAATAAACAAGTAAACTTTTTTGTCTGTTGCAAGGTGATAAATGCAATGGAGAAAAATAAAACAGGACAAGAGGTATAGATAGTGCAAGTGTTGGATTGCACCCTGGGACCATCGGAAGGCCTGAGGTCCCTAGCAGAAGGTGGGAAATTAACGGGAAGTGGTAGAAAGGGTACCTGCAGAGTGCTCACTCTGGGTTTCTTCCTCCAATTTTTTTCAGGCAGCACATGGTCTCCTACAGCGTTCATTGTCAATGATGGGGATGTCCCCGATGGGCTGAACCTTGGGGCAGTAGTGAGCGATGTTGAGACAGGAGTAGTATTTCTTTTCTACTCCCTTTGTGCTCACAAGGCCGGCTGCCAGGTGGCCTCTACCATGTTGGTATGGAGCAAGGATGATGGTGTTTCCTGGAGCACACCCCGGAATCTCTCCCTGGATATTGGCACTGAAGTGTTTGCCCCTGGACCGGGCTCTGGTATTCAGGTCTCTGTCCTAGGAGATAGGTGGAGGGGGCTGCCTTGTGGAGAGTCTGAGGGATACCCCCAAATGGACTCCTTTCCAAGGGGAAGATTCTCTGAAGTCAGATTTTCTGGCTTGGGTGGGATTCCTTGAAAGACAGGGCATCCTGGTAGGAACACATTATCAGGAGAAGAGGGAACTCTGCCATTGGCTTCCCATTTGGCATTGTCAACAGGACTGCGTTAGTCCATGCAATACCCTCATGCAAAGTAGAAAAAGGCACTGCCTCTTTGGACAGACACAAGCCTGTGCCAGGGTGCACAGCTTGGCGAGTGAGCACAGGTTGGGTTTAAGCTCTCATGCACCCTGTGGCTGGGCCCCTGGTGCACATGTCCAGCTGTACACCCTGGGAGAGCTTCTTAATTCAAACAGGGTGTGTATTTATGGGATCTGACTGGAACCCTCAGTGAGCAAGGGCTGAACTCAAGGGGACCATACATGTGATTGCATTTGGGAAGTGGTGGGTTCTCTGTCCCTGCCTCTGAGCCCCTAGAGTCTCCTTCTGTGACACCCAGTTCCCTTTCCCACAGAAACAGCGGGAGCCACGGAAGGGCCGCCTCATCGTGTGTGGCCATGGGACGCTGGAGCGGGACGGAGTCTTCTGTCTCCTCAGCGATGATCATGGTGCCTCCTGGCGCTACGGAAGTGGGGTCAGCGGCATCCCCTACGGTCAGCCCAAGCAGGAAAATGATTTCAATCCTGATGAATGCCAGGTCAGGAGTCCATGAGATGTTCCCTACCCATTTGACCCTCCCTGCCCTCCAGAACATCATTTCACGCACAGACCCAGGGTCTGACTGCTCCACTCAGTGCCACACACCCTTGCTCCCCTCGGGGACAGGGCATTTTCCCTGTTCCCTCCCTGAGGTCCTGTCCTCTCCCCTCAGCCCTATGAGCTCCCAGATGGCTCAGTCGTCATCAATGCCCGAAACCAGAACAACTACCACTGCCACTGCCGAATTGTCCTCCGCAGCTATGATGCCTGTGATACACTAAGGCCCCGTGATGTGACCTTCGACCCTGAGCTCGTGGACCCTGTGGTAGCTGCAGGAGCTGTAGTCACCAGCTCCGGCATTGTCTTCTTCTCCAACCCAGCACATCCAGAGTTCCGTGAGTGCCTCATGGGTGGGGTCAGCAGGGAGAGCCCTGTGTCTAGACAAGGCCTGGGCAGAGACCCTCTCTCCCTGACTCTCCTGCTCTCCCCAGGAGTGAACCTGACCCTGCGATGGAGCTTCAGCAATGGTACCTCATGGCGGAAAGAGACAGTCCAGCTATGGCCAGGCCCCAGTGGCTATTCATCCCTGGCAACCCTGGAGGGCAGCATGGATGGAGAGGAGCAGGCCCCCCAGCTCTACGTCCTGTATGAGAAAGGCCGGAACCACTACACAGAGAGCATCTCCGTGGCCAAAATCAGTGTCTATGGGACACTCTGAGCTGTGCCACTGCCACAGGGGTATTCTGCCTTCAGGACTCTGCCTTCAGGAACACGGGTCTGTAGAGGGTCTGCTGGAGACGCCTGAAAGACAGTTCCATCTTCCTTTAGACTCCAGCCTTGGCAAAATCACCTTCCCTTTACCAGGGAAATCACTTCCTTTAGGACTGAAAGCTAGGCGTCCTCTCCCACAAAAAAGTCCTGCCCTCATCTGAGAATACTGTCTTTCCATATGGCTAAGTGTGGCCCCACCACCCTCTCTGCCCTCCCGGGACATTGATTGGTCCTGTCTTGGGCAGGTCTAGTGAGCTGTAGAATTGAATCAATGTGAACTCAGGGAACTGGGGAAGGCTGAGCCTCCTCTTTGGTGTTGCGGTAAGATAACCGACAGGGCTGGTGAAAGTCCCCAGATGGCAGGATATTTGGTTTCAGAGTAAGGACTAGGTGCACCACCATGACTGACTATCAATCAAAATGTTTGTAACTTAAAATTTTTAATGAAGGATAATGAATATTTGTAGAGTCTCTATGGTTCTGTCAATGCACATCTTCGTGTCTGTTTTCCTCATGTATCCTTGTGAGCCTGGGTGAGTTCTGGGGAGAGACCTGATGTGCGTACTGCCTGTGAAAATCTGACTTTGGCAAATCAAATCCTCTTTTCCTTTTGACATGCCCTCTTTTTTTGTTGTTGCTTTTTTTGAGACAGGGCTCGCTCTGTCACCCAGGCTGGAGTGCAGTTGCACAATCACGGCTCACTGAAGCCTCAACCTCCTGGGCTCAAGTGATCCTCACGTCTCAGCCTCCGGAGTAGTTGGGACTACAGGTCAGTGACACCATGCCTGGTTAATTTTTTTAATTTTTATTTTCAGTAGAGACAAGGTTGCGCTATGTTGCCCAGGCTGGTATGGAACTCCTGTGCTTAAGCAATCCTCATGCCTCAGCTTCCCAAAGTGCTGAGGTTACAGCTATGAGCCACCGCACCCAGCCTACATTCCTTCTTATCACCGAGAAACAGGTTGATCTTCACAGGTGTAATGAGTATGAAGGGAGTGCCATAAGATATTTTTTATTTTTTATTTATTTATTTTTTAATTTAATTTTTTTTTTTTTGAGATGGAGTCTTGCTCTGGCACCCAGGCTAGAGTGCAGTGGTGCGATCTCGGCTCACTGCAACCTCTGCCTCCCAGGTTCAAGCGATTCTTCTGCCTCAGCTTCCCGAATAGCTGGGATTACAGGTGCCCACCACCACACCCGGCTAATTTTTGTATTTTTAGTAGAGACGGAGTTTCACCATGTTGGCCAGGCTGGTCTCAAACTCCTGGCCTCAGGTGATCCACCCGCCTCGGCCTCCCAAAGTGTTGTGATTACAAGCATGAGCCATGGTGCCGGCGGGCTGATTTTTTTAATTTTTAGTAGAGACAAAGTCTCACTATATTGCCTAGGTTGGTCTCAAACTGCTGAGCTCAAGCAATCTGCCGGCCATGTTCTCTCAAAGTGCTGGGATTACAGGCTTGAGCCCCTGCACCCAGCCTGTAAGATATTTTAAAATCCACACTTGGCCAAGCGTGGTGGCTCACACATATAATCCCAGCACTTTGGGAGGCCAAGGTGGGCGGATCACAAGGTCAGGAGTTCGAGACCAGCCTGGCCAATATGGTGAAATCCCATCTCTACTAAAAATACAAAAACTAGCCAGGCGTGTTGGCTTACACTTATAGTCCCAGCTACTCAGGTGGCTGAGGCAGGAGAATCACTTGAACCAGGAGGCGGAGTTTGCAGTGAGCTGAGATCACAGCACTGCACACCAGCCTCGGCAACAGAGTGAGACTCCGTCTGAAAAAAAAAAAATCCACGCTGTTTTATATTTCTAACATGGGGTAGGATACCATCCTCCATGAAATAGGGTGCAAGTGTGTGAAATGCAGATGGGAATCCTGTCCCAGCTAGCCTGACAGAGAAGTGAGCACTTCCTATGGCAAATTATGTAAGAAAATATTCCCCAGGCAGATGCTTATGAAAAGAATCTGTTCAGCCTGCAGGTAAGTGGGAGAGCCCTTGCTCAAAAAAAAAAAGAAAAAGAAATAGTGGAAGACAAAAAGGAAAGGACACTATGAATGTCTGACCCATGAACTACTACCTGTTAGAAACAGAAGTGCTGGGAGGCTTGAGAGACAGACACTACCTTCCTGGCTAGGTGTGGTGGCTCAGATCTGTAATGCTAGCACTTCGGGAGACCAAGGCAGGATGATCAAATTAAAGGGCATCCTGGGCAACATGGCAATACCCCATGTCTAAAAAATTTAAAAATTAGCCAAGCATGGTAACGCACACCTATAGTCCTAGCTACATGGGAGGATGGCTTGATCTCTTTGACCCCAGGAGTTCGAGGCAGTAGTGAGCTATGATTGCACCACTGCACACCAACCTAGGTGACAGAGTGAGACCTCATCTCCAAAAAACCAAACCAAAACAAAAAACCTTCAAGAAAGAAAAAAAGCTTGACCTTCCCTCCCTCACTCTTTACAGACCCATGGAATCTGAAGCTCTGGTGTTGGAGCCACCAGGCATTAACAAGCCTTCTGGGAGATTCGTAATACGTTTAAGTTTGAAAACCAGGGTCAGAACTTTTAAACAAGTGCAAGTGTCCAGCTAAAATGAATTATATGTACGTCAAAGTTGCAGAAATAGTTAAAGAACCTTTTTTTTCCAGCTTTTTTTTTTCTTTTAATACACAGGGAAGGGTCAGGTGCAGTGGCTCACGCCTGTAATCCCAGCACTTTGGGAGGCCGAGGTGGGCGGATCACAAGGTCAGGGGTTCTAGACCAGCCTGGCCAACATGGTAAAACCCCATCTCTACTAAAAATACAAATATTAGCCATATGTGGTGGCACACGCCTGTAGTCCCAGCTACTCGGGAGCCTGAGGCAGGAGACTCACTTGAACCTGGGAGGCAGAGGTTGCAGTGAGCCGAGATTATGCCACTGCCCTCCAGCCTGGGCGACAGAGCAAGACTTCATCTTAAAAAAAAAAAAAAATACACAGGAAAGATTGGGACAAGTGGCAGGAGACTGAAAGGGGAAAGAGCTTGTTTGTACTAATGGGACAAAGTGGGCCGACTCTGGGCACACTGCTTATGAGTTAGCTCTACTCTGTGAGGAAATTTTTTTTTTTTTTTTGAGACAGAGTCTTGCTCTGTTGCCCAGGCTGGAGTGCAGTGGCGCAATCTTGGCTCCCCGCAACCTCTGCCTCGCTGGTTCAAGCAATTCCCCTGCCTCAGCCTCCTAAGTAGCTGGGATTACAGGCGCCTGCCACCACGCTCGGCTAATTTTTTGGTATTTTTAGTAGAGACCCGGTTTCACCATGTTGGCCAGACTGGTCTCGAACTCCTGACCTCAGGCAATACGCCCGCCTCGGCCTCCCAAAGTGCCGGGATTACAGGTGTGAGCCACCCCACCCGGCCAAGGAAATATTTAAAAAATAAAATAAAATAAGTTATTTAAAAATTGGGGCAAGTTGGCTGGGCACGGTGGCTCACGCCTGTAATCCTAGCACTTTGGGAGGCTGAGGAAGGGGGATCACTTGAGGTCAGGAGTTCAAGACCAGTCTGGCCAACATGGTGAAACACTGTCTCTACTAAAAATTCAAAAAATTAGCCAGGCATTGTGGCAGGCACCTACAATCCCAGCTACTCAGGAGACTAAGGCAGGAGAATCGCTTGAACCTGGGAGACGGAGATTGCAGTGAGTTGAAATCATGCCACTGCACTCCAGCCTGGGCTATGGAGCGAGACTCTCCCTCAAAAAAAAAAAAATCGGGGTAAGTGTTATCAATCTAAAAAATAATAATTAAAAAGTTCAGAATCTAGGCCAGGCGCTGTGGCTCACACCTATAATCCCAGCACTTTGGGAGGCAGAGGCAAGCGAATCACCTGAAGTCAGGAGTTCAAGACCATCCTGGTCAACATGACGAAACCCCGTCTCTACCAAAAATACAAAAATTAGCTGGGTGTTGTGGGTCGCGCCTGTAGTCCCAGCTATTCAGGAGACTGAGGAAGGAGAATCGCTTGAACCCGGGAGCGAGAGGTTACAGTGGGCCAAGATCATACCATTGCATTCCAGTCTGGGAGACACAGCGAGACTGTCTTAAACAAACGAACAAAAGCTGAGAATCTAGTGTTGTTGCTTTTTACAGATGGAGTCTTGCCATGTTGCCCAGGTTAGATTCAGACTGAAGTTCAAGGGATCCTCCTGCCTCAGCCTCCTAGAGTAGATAGAGTTGGGACTGCAGGCACATACCACTGTACCAGGCTTAGAATCTAGTTTAAAGAGTTTATCCACCGGCTCTCCCTCCCTCTCCCTCTGTCTCCCTCTCCCCACGGTCTCCCTCTCATGCGGAGCCGAAGCTGGACTGTACTGCTGCCATCTCGGCTCACTGCAACCTCCCTGCCTGATTCTCCTGCCTCAGCCTGCCCAGTGCCTGCCATTGCAGGCACGCGCCGCCATGCCTGACTGGTTTTGGTGGAGACGGGGTTTCGCTGTGTTGGCCGGGCAGGTCTCCAGCCCCTAACCGCGAGTGATCCCGCCAACCTCAGCCTCCCGAGGTGCCGGGATTGCAGACAGAGTCTCGTTCACTCAGTGCTCAATGGTGCCCAGGCTGGAGTGCAGTGGCGTGATCTCGGCTCACTACAACCTACACCTCCCAGCCGCCTGCCTTGGCCTCCCAAAGTGCCGAGATTGCAGCCTCTGCCCGGCCGCCACCCCGTCTGGGAAGTGAGGAGCGTCTCTGCCTGGCCGCCCATCGTCTGGGATGTGAGGAGCCCCTCTGCCTGGCTGCCCAGTCTGGAAAGTGAGGAGCGTCTCCGCCCGGCCGCCATCCCATCTAAGAAGTGAGGAGCGCCTCTTCCCAGCCGCCATCACATCTAGGAAGTGAGGAGCGTCTCTGCCCGGCCGCCCATCGTCTGAGATGTGGGGAGCGCCTCTGCCCCGCCGCCCCATCTGGGATGTGAGGAGTGCCTCTGCCCGGCCGAGACCCCGTCTGGGAGGTGAGGAGCGTCTCTGCCCGGCCGCCCCGTCTGAGAAGTGAGGAGACCCTCTGCCTGGCAACCACCCCGTCTGAGAAGTGAGGAGCCTCTCCGCCCCGCAGCCACCCCATCTGGGAAGTGAGGAGCATCTCCGCCCGGCAGCCACCCCGTCCGGGAGGGAGGTGGGGGGGGTCAACCCCCCGCCCGGCCAGCCGCCCCATCTGGGAGGGAGGTGGGGGGTCAGCCCCCCCGACCGGCCAGCCGTGCCATCCGGGAGGGAGGTGGGGGGGTCAGCCCCCCACCTGGCCAGCCGTGCCGTCCGGGAGGGAGGTGGGGGGGTCAGCCCCCCGCCCGGCCAGCCGCCCCGTCCGGGAGGTGAGGGGTGCCTCTGCCCGGCCACCCCTACTGGGAAGTGAGGAGCCCCTCAGCCCGGCCAGCCACCCCGTCCGGGAGGGAGATGGGGGGGTCAGCCCCCCCACCCGGCCAGCCGCCCGGTCCGGGAGGGAGGTGGGGGGGTCAGCCCCCCGCCTGGCCAGCCGCCCTGTCCGGGAGGGAGGTGGGGGGGTCAGCCCTCCGCCCGGCCAGCCGCCCCGTCTGGGAGGTGAGGGGCGCCTCTGCCCGGCCGCCCCTACTGGGAAGTGAGGAGCCCCTCTGCCCGGCCAGCCGCCCCGTCCGGGAGGGAGGTGGGGGTGTCAGCCCCCCGCCCGGCCAGCCGCCCCGTCCGGGAGGGAGGTGGGGGGGGTCAGCCCCCCCGCCCGGCCAGCCGCCCCGTCCGGGAGGTGAGGGGCGCCTCTGCCCGGCCGCCCCTACTGGGAAGTGAGGAGCCCCTCTGCCCGGCCAGCCGCCCCGTCCGGGAGGGAGGTGGGGGTGTCAGCCCCCCGCCCGGCCAGCCGCCCCGTCCGGGAGGGAGGTGGGGGGGGTCAGCCCCCCCGCCCGGCCAGCCGCCCCGTCCGGGAGGTGAGGGGCGCCTCTGCCCGGCCGCCCCTACTGGGAAGTGAGGAGCCCCTCTGCGCGGCCACCACCCCGTCTGGGAGGTGTGCCCAACAGCTCATTGAGAACGGGCCAGGATGACAATGGCGGCTTTGTGGAATAGAAAGGCAGGAAAGGTGGGGAAAAGATTGAGAAATCGGATGGTTGCCGTGTCTGTGTAGAAAGAAGTAGACATGGGAGACTTTTCATTTTGTTCTGCACTAAGAAAAATTCCTCTGCCTTGGGATCCTGTTGATCTGTGACCTTACCCCCAACCCTGTGCTCTCTGAAACATGTGCTGTGTCCACTCAGGGTTAAATGGATTAAGGGCGGTGCAAGATGTGCTTTGTTAAACAGATGCTTGAAGGCAGGGTGCTCGTTGGGAGTCATCACCAATCCCTAATCTCAAGTAATCAGGGACACAAACACTGCGGAAGGCCGCAGGGTCCTCTGCCTAGGAAAACCAGAGACCTTTGTTCACTTGTTTATCTGCTGACCTTCCCTCCACTATTGTCCCATGACCCTGCCAAATCCCCCTCTGTGAGAAACACCCAAGAATTATCAATAAAAAAATAAATTTAAAAAAAAAAAAAAAAAAAAAAAAGAGTTTATCCAACTGCAAATGTTGAGGAAGTGGCCCGTCTAGAGCTGAAGATTCCAAAGAATATTAGTCTATGTTCCAAAAGTGTAGAAGTTTGGAATCGCTTATATAAACAGAAAGTTTATGGAAACTTAGAATTTCAACATTGTTCTGTGTTCACAATTGGTGGGTTCTTGGTCTCATTGATTTAAAGAATGAGGCCGCAGACCCTCACGGGGAGTGTTACAGTTCTTAAATGCGGCGCCTCTGGAGTTGTTTGTTCCTCCCGGGGGGTTCGTGCTCTCGCTAGCGTCAGGAGTGAAACTGCATACCCCTGCGGTGAGTGTTACACCTCATAAAAGTAGTGTGGACCCAAAGAACAAATAGCAATAAAATTTATTGCAAAGACGGAAATAACAAACCTTCCACTCTATGGAAAATGACCAGAGCGGGATGTCACTACTCACTCAGGCAGCCTGCTTTTATTCCCTTATCTGGCCCCACCCACATCCTGCTGATTGGTCCATTTTACAGAGAGCTGATTGGTCCGTTTTACAGAGAGCTGATTGGTCCATTTTGACAGGGTGCTGATTGGTTCGTTTACAATCCCTGAGCTAGACACAAAAGTTCTCCATGTCCTCACTAGATTAGCTAGATACAGTGTCGATTGGTGCATTTACAAACCCTGAGCTAGACACAGGATGCTGATTGGTATATTTACAAACCTTGAGCTAGATACAGAGTGCCGATTGGTGTATTTACAATCCCTTAGCTAGACATAAAGGTTCTCCAAGTCCCCACCACACTCAGGAGCCCAGCTGGCTTCACCCAGTGGATCCCGCACTGGGGCCGCAGGTGGAGCTGCTTGCCAGTCCTGCCCCATGCGCCTGCGCTCTTCAGCCCTTGGGAGGTTGATGGGACTGGGGGCCGTGGAGCAGGGGGTGGCGCTCGTCGGGGAGGCTCTGCAGCACAGGAGCCCACGGCGGGGTTGGGGCTCAGGCATGGCGGGCTGCAGGTCCTGAGTCCTGTCCTGTGGTGAGGCAGCTAAGGCCCCGTGAGAAATCGAGCACAGCAAGCTGCTGGCCCAGGTGCTAAACCCCTCACTGCCCTGCCCGGGGCTTGTGGGCCAGCCTGCCGCTCCAAGAGCGGGGCAGCCGAGCCCACGCCCACCCGGAACTTGCGCTGGCCCACAAGCGCTGCGTGCAGCCCCGGTTCCCGCCCGCGCCTCTCCCTCCACACCTCCCCGCAAGCCGAGGGAGCCGGCTCCGGCCTCGGCCAGCCCAGAGAAGGCTCCCACGGTGCAGTGGCGGGCTGAAGGGCTCCTCAAGCGCGGCCAGAATGGGCGCCAAGGCCGAGGAGGCGCCGAGAGCCAGCAAGGGCTGCGAGGGCTGTCAGCACGCTGTCAACTCTCAGTTCTATGGTAAGGCTTATTGCATAGTTACAATGATCTGATTAGTCAATTTTTTTTTTTCTTTTTTGGGGGGTGGGGGAAGGTGTTTTTTACATTCCACACTGAAGATGCAATAGTCATGGGGTCTTGGGTGCCATCTGGTCTGAGTCAGGTACAGGACAATAAAGGAGGCAGTTAATCTACAACAAAGATCAGTGATTGGAAAGGAGGTCTCATTACAGAACAAGAGCAATGTGGAGGAGAGTCTGTAAGAAGCAGAATTGCAAACATGCTACATGATTCAGTCTCCAAGGCTTAACTTCCATCTTGGCATAAACTTAGAGTCCTGAAGTTTTGTTTTCTTTTTACGGTGGACTTTGCACATCATTGCCTGGTGAGTGCCCGCTGGATCAGCAGCCAAATTCTAGCATGAAACCCTTTCCCCAACATCCCCTTTCACCTTGCATGGCCCTCCTTCCCTTCACACATTGATCCCCACTCCCAGCCCCTTTGCTTAGGATCAAACCAGCTCAAGCTCTCTCTGTCTTCTCAGCTGTCCCTTAAATAAGGGAAAGAGACAGTAACAATGAACACTGACCTGAACAGCAAATACCAGGGACCAGGGACCATGGATACTTTTTTGCTAATGTAATCCTTCCAACCAAAAGTCATGACAAGGAGGGAATAGGAAAAAGTATTTTTTTTTTTTTTTTGAGACAGGGTCTTACTCTGTCACCCAGGCTGGAGTGCAGTAGCATGATCACAGCTCACTGCAACCTTGACCACCTGGGTTCAAGCAATCTTCCCACCTCAGCCTCCTGAGTAGCTGGGACTACAGGCACTTGCCACCAAGCCCAGCTAATATTTTCATTTTTGTAGAAACAGGGTCCCACTATGTTGCCCAGGCTGGTCTTAAACTCCTGGGCTCAAGTGATCCTTGACCACCCCACCCGCTCGGCCTCCCAAAGTGCTAGAGTTACAGGCCTGCCCACCCATAGCCATCTAATAATTTTTGCCCAAGAAAGGATTGGGAAGGAAGATCAAAGCAATGGCTTGGACATCTTTCCAACAACAACAACAACAACAACAAAACCACAACAGACTCAAATTACCATAGTAGAAGTATAGGTCTTCCTTTTCCTAATACTCTGGGATTTTTTTTTTTTTTTGAGACAGAGTCTTGCTCTGTTGCCCAGGCAGGCTGGAGTGCAGTGGCGTGATCTCAACTCACTGCAACCTCCGTGTCCCAGGTTCAAGTGATTCTCCTGCCTCAGCCTCCTGAGTATTTGGGATTATAGGTGCCCACCACCACACCTGGCTAATTTTTTGTATTTTTAGTAGAGATGGGTTTTCACCATGTTGACCAGGCTGGTCTCTACTAAAAATACAAAAATTAGCTGGGTGTGGTGGCATGCCCCTGTAGTCTCAGCTACTCGGGAGGCTGAGGCAGAAGAATCGCTTGAACCTGGGAGGCAGAGGTTGCAGTAAGCCGAGATCATGCCACTGCACTCCAGCCTGGTGACACAGTGAGACTCTGTCCCAAAAAAAAAAAAAAAAGAGGCCGGGCGCGGTGGCTCATGTCTGTAATCCCAGCATTTTGGGAGGCCAAGGCAGGCGAATCACCTGAGGTCAGGAGTTCAAGACCAGCCTCACCAACATGGAGAAACCCAGTCTCTACTAAAAATACAAAATTAGGCTGGGCACAGTGGCTCACGCCACCCAGCACTTTGGGGAGGCCAAGGCGGGCGGATCACCTGAGGTCAGGAGTTCAAGACCAGCCTGGCCAACATGGTGAAACCCCCGTCTCTACTAAAAATACAAAAATTAGCCAGGCGTGGTAGTGCATGCCTGTAATGCCAGCTACTGAGGAGGCTGAGGCAGGAGAATCGCTTGAACCCGAGAGGGGAAGGCTGAAGTGAGCCGAGATCACGCCACTGCACTCCAGCCTCGGCAACAAGAGCGAGACTCTGTCTCAAAAAAAAAAAAAAAAAAAAAAAGCTGGCCAGAGGCGGTAATTACATGCCTGTAATCCCAGTCCCAGTACTTTGGAAGGCCAAGACGGGCAGATCATTTGAGCCCAGGAGTTTGAGACCAGCCTGGGCAACATGGCAAGACCTCATCTCTACAAAAAATTTAAAAATTAGCTGGGGCAGTGGCCCACACCTGTAGTTTCAGCTACATGGGAAGCTGAGGTGAGAGGGTCACTTGAGCCCAGGAGGTAGAGGCTGTAGTGCACCAAGACCGCACCACTGCCCTCAAACCTGGGCGACAGGGCAAGAAACTTGTCTCAAAAACAAACAAATAAGAAACCCACAGCACATTAGGTCAAATACTTTTATAAAAAATTTTTTTAGGCCGGGCACGGTGGCTCATGCCTGTAATCCCAGCACTTTGGGAGGCCAAGGCGGGCGGATCACAAGGTCAGGAGATCCAGACCTCCTGGCTAACACGGTGAAACACTGTCTCTACTAAAAATACAAAATATTAGCCGGGCGTGGTGGCGGGAGCCTGTAGTCCCAGCTACTTGGGAAGCTGAAGCAGGAGAATGGAGTGAACCTGGAAGGCAGAGCTTGCAGTGAGCTGAGATGGTGCCACTGCACTCCAGCCTGGGAAACAGAGCAAGACTCTGTCTGAAGAAAAAAAAAATTAGAGTGAAAAAATAAAAAGGTTGATGAGTCTGTGTTTCACGAAAAACTCTCCAAACTCCCAAACTGTTTTAAACTTTTTCCTCCTCTACTCTCTCACTCTCTCCCCCCAGCCACACTCACACACACACTTTTTTTTTTTTTTTTTTTTGAGACAGAGTCTCGCTCTGTCACCCAGGCTAGAGTGCAGTGGCATGATCTCGGCTCACTGCAACCTCCGACTCCCAGATTCAAGTAATTCTCCTGCCTCAGATTCTCAAGAGTAGCTGGGATTACAGGTGTTCACCACCACACCCGGCTAATTTTTGTATTTTTAGTAGCGATGGGGTTTCTCCATGTTGGCCAGGCTGGTCTCAAACTCCTGACCTCAGGTGATCCACCTGCCTCCGCCTCCCAAAGTGCTGGGATTACAGCCGTGAGCCACTGTGCTCAACAACACACTTCTTTTAAAGACAGGGTCTCACTCTGTCACCCAGCCTGGAGTGCAGTACTGCAATCATAGCTCACTTCAGCCTTGACCTCCCAGGCTCAAGCAGTCCTCCCACCTCAGCCCCATGAGTGGTTGGAACCACAGGTGTGTGCCACCACACCTGCTAATTTTTGTATTTTTTGAAGACACGAGGTCTCGACATGTTGCCCAGGCTGGTCTTGAACTCCTGGGCTCAAGCAATCCACCAACCTCGGCCTTCCAAAGTGCTGGGACTACAGGTGTGAGCCATGGTAACTGGCCTGAATATTAAGTGCTATTAGGGAATTAAATTTGCTTTTCTCAGGTATAATAGTATTGTGAATATGCAGATGAACATCCTTATTTTTTGGAGATGCATACTCAAATACAAAGGGATAAAATGTCATAATCTCTTTAATATACTTTGAAATGATCCTACCAAATATAAGTACATACAGATGCTAATATCATTGTTTTTGCCAATTTTCTTTTTTCTTCCTTTTAGATACAGGGTCTTGGTCTGTCGCACAGGCCGGAGAGCAGTGAGTGGAACAATCATGGCTCTGTAGCCTCGACCTTCTGGGCTCAAGTGATCCTTCCATCTCAGCCTCCCAAGTAGCTGGGACTACAGGTGCTTGGGAGTACACCTAATTTTTTAATTTTGTAGAGAAGTGGTCTCCGCCCAGGCTGGCCTCAAACTCCTGCACTCCAGCAATCCTCCTGCCTTGACCTCCCAAAGTACTGGGATTACAGACATTAGCCACCACGCCCAACCAAAACTTTTAAAAGTTTTTTTTTTTGTTTTATAACAGTTCCTCTGCCTCTTTTAGAGGCAATCAACCCAGTGTGGAGCACAGGTATTCCCTGGGTGGCACTAGGAGATGGGACTTGCTCCCTGTTTCAAGGTGGTACCAGCTAATGCTGCAAGGCCCTTTGAAGAAGGCTCCCCCTTCCCAGTTTATTATCTGCCATCAGTAAATAACTGGGGATTATCAGCTGACACCTTTATCTTCACTACATTCTTTAGAATTTAAGACAGGCAACAGCCAGCCTAGAATGTGACCCACTTCCACCTGAGGTTCACCTGACTGGAGGCAATAAAGTTTAACATTTCAAGAGTCAGCAGGTACTTTAACCCTTAGGATAATTTGTTTCTTTATATAGTCTTTGGAAAATAACACAAGAATTAAAAAAAAAAAAAAAAAAAACAGCCAGGCTTGGTGGCTCAGGAGGCAGAGGCTGCAGTGAGCCAAGATGGCTCCAGTGCACTACAGCCTGGACAACACAGTGAGACCCTGTCCACCCCACTCCCCCCCAAAAAAAGTCATGGGAAAGTAGAATGCTAATGAAAAGAAAGTACTACAATCAACAAACTAACAGATGGGCCTGAGATGCTAAAAACCAGGTACCCCTGTACGCCATTGGGCAGCAGAGCTCATGATGGCTCTGTGGCTGTTCTGGCTGCAGGTAACAAATCCATGTAACAAACAAAGTAGGCTGGGTGCAGTGGCTCACGCCTGTAATCCCAGCACTTTGGGAGGGCGAGGCAGGTGAATCACAAGGTCAGGAGTTCAAGACCAACCTGACCAACACGGTGAAACCTTGTCTCTACTAAAAATACAAAAATTATCCAGACGTGGTGGCACCACCTGTAATCCCAGCTACTCAGGAGGCTGAGTCAGGAGCATCGCTTGAACCTGGGAGGCGTAGGTTGCAGTGAGCTGAGATCATGCCACTGCACTCCAGCCTGGGCAACAGAGCAAGACTCCCATCTCAAAAACAAAAACAAAGCAGCTCTGGAGTTGGAGTATCTCATTCCATCCTTCATGTTTCAAAACTTCCTTTTCATATCACCTCTGATTTCTCTGCTCCACATTATGGATTATTTCTCCCTCCAACTCACTAATTCTTCATTTAGTTGGTCTGCTGTTTATCTTGTTTATTGTGTATCTTTGTTGTTTTTTTTGGTTTTTATTTTTAGAGATGGTGTCTTGCAATATTACCCAGGCTGGTCTCGAACTCCTGGGCTCAGGTGATCCTCCCACCTTGGCCTCCCAAAGTGCTGGGATTACAGGCATGAGTCACCATACCCAGCCCCCAAGCTATGTTTTTAAGATACTAAGAAATATTTCAGACATGCAAAAATAAGAAATGAGAGGCCAGGCACATTACATATGCTTACATACTACCAGTATGTAAACATATATTAATGTTACATACAACTAATATGTAAACATTACGTACCACTAGTTGTTGGTTTTGTTTTTTTTGAGACAGAGTCTCATGCTTTTGCCCAGGCTGGAGTGCAGGGGTTCAATCTTGGCTCACTGCAACCTCCACCTCCTGGGTTCAAGCAATTCTCATGCCTCAGCCATCAGAGTATCTGGGATTACAGGTGTGCACCACCACACTTGGCTAATTTTTGTATTTTTAGTAGAGACAGGGTTTCGCCATGTTGACCAGGTTGGTCTCAAACTCCTGGCCTCAAGTGATCCACCTGCTTCGGCCTCCCAAAGCGCTGGAATTACAGGCATGAGACACTGCACCCAGCCCCAAAAGTTTTTAAGGTTATTTCTGGGCTCTAGAATTTCCTCACAACCCAAAAGATGCAAATTTCATCCATGAGTTCTGTTGGTGCAGGTTTGGGTGTACCCCACAAAGCCTGCGGCTGTGACTCTGGCCAATGGGTAGAAATTTTACTCCTCGAACACTGACAAAAGAGCTCCAAGCAGCTCCTGGGTTTCTGTAGCATGGCTGAAGCAGAGTGGAAATGGGGTTTCACCATGTTGGCCAGGCTGGTCCCCAACCCCTGACCTCAGGTGTAGAAGATGAGGTCAGAAAGTTGACAGAGCTAGACTGGGAGGACCTTGTTGGGTGGCCCTTGTAAGATGGAGACTTTTACTCTGAGTGAAATGGCAGCTGTTACAGGATCTTCAGAAGAGGGGAGACATGACCTGACTCCTGATTTGGAAGGAACCTTCTGGCTGCTGTGTGGAGAGAGCCTGTAACGGGCAAAAGTGGAAGCCAGGAGACCAGGTAGGAGACAGTTGCAGTTGTCTAGGTGAGAGCCAATGGTGGCTCCCACCAGGATGGAGCAGCAGTAAAGGTGTGAGACACAGATCCTCGTGTCATTTCTAAGATACAGACAGTATGATTTGCTGACAAATTAGATGTAGCATGTGAGAACAGGAGAGCAGTCAGGCAGATTCCAAGGGTCTAGCCTAAGCAACTGGCAGGTAGAGGTGTCACCTGGAGGGCCAGCACACTGGCCAGTGGGTAAGGATTCCAAGGATTCTTGTCTCCCATTTCTGTGGGGAGACAGGCTGAGGCCAAGCCTTAGGAGGCTCACTGCCTACAGTAGCTGAAGTAGCAGGCTAGCCGCTATTAGAGTAACTGCAAGCTGGGGAGTTCAGCCTGGGAGGATGGGAAGGAGGACTGTTTATTACTGAAGTTGCTCCACTCCTGGTATGGAAATGGGGCCTAAAGAAATGAGGAAAATAGGCCGGCGGTGGCTCACGCCTGTAATCCCAGCACTTTGGGAGGCCAAGGCGGGTGGATCACGAGGTCAGGAGATCGAGACCATCCTGGCTAACACGGTGAAACCCCGTCTCTACTAAATATACAAAAAATTAGCCGGGTGTAGTGGTGGACGCCTGTATTCCCAGCTAATCGGGAGGCTGAGGCAGGAGAATGGCGTGAACCCGGAAGGCGGAGCTTGCAGTGAGCCGAGATCGCGCCACTGCACTCCAGCCTGGGCGACAGAGCGAGACTCCGTCTCAAAAAAAAAAAAAAAGAAATGAGGAAAATAGCATTTTGGGGTTGAGGTCTTTCAGCATCACCACTGTGTGAGAAAAGAAGTTCACGTGACCATCTTACCATGGCTGTAGCTCAGTCTTATACCCCAAACCTGGGATTAGCACCCACCACACAGGGGAGGACTTGAACCATACAAAGGGCAGGGGAATGCAGAAGAGACCCTTGGGGACAAGAAATGAAACCAACAAAGCTGAGTATGGTGGCATATGCCTGTTGCCCCAGCTACTGAGGAAGCTGAGGCGGGAGGATCACTTCAGCCCAGGAGTTCAAGTCAGACCTGGGCAACAGAGCATGACTCTACCTCTTCATTTATTTATTTAGAGATAAGGCTCACTCTGTTGCCCAGATTGGAGTGCAGTGGCACAATCATGGCTCACTGCAGCCTCAACTTCCAGGGCTCAAGCAATTCTCCCATCTCAGCCTCCCAAGTAGCTGAACCACGGCATGCCATCACAACCGGCTAATTTTTAAAATTTTTTGTAGGAACTGGATTTCACCGTGTTGCCCAGGCAGACTGGTCTCAAACTCCTGGGTTCAAGAGATCTGCCCACCATGGCCTCCCACAGTGCTGGGGTTGCAGGTGTGAGCCACCGCACTATGCTTCTTTTTTGTTAGAGACGGGATAGGCCGGGCTTGGTGGCTCAAGCTTGTAATCTCAGCATTTGGGGAGGCCAAAGCAGGTAGATCATTTGATTTCAGGAGTTAGACACCAGTCAGGCAATATAGTGAAACCTTCACTGTATAAAAAATTTAAAAATTAGCTGGGCATGGCTGGGCGCGGTGGCTCACCTGTAATCCCAGCACTTTGGGAGGCCGAGGCAGGTAGATCATGAGGTCAGGAGATCGAGACCATCCTGGCTAACACGGTGAAACCTCGTCTCTACCTAAAATACAAAAAAATTAGCCAGGCGTGGTGGCTGGCACCTGTAGTTCCTGCTACTCGGGAGGCTGAGGCAGGAGAATGGCGTGAACCTGAGAGGCAGAGCTTGCAGTGAGCCAAGATCGCGCCACTGCACTCCAGCCTGGGTGACAGAGCAAGACTCCGTCTCAAAAAAAAAAAAAAAAGGTCAGGTACGGTAGCTCACGCCTGTAATCCCAGCACTTTGGGAGGCCAAGGCAGGTGGATCACGAGGTCAGGAGATCGAAACCATCCTGGCTAACACGGTGAAACCCCATCTTTACTAAAAATACAAAAAATTAGCTGGCCGTGGTGGTGGGTGCCTGTAGTCCCAGCTAGTCGGGAGGCTGAGGCAGGAGAATGGTGTGAACCCAGGAGGTGGAGCTTGCAGTGAGCCGAGATTGCACCACTGCACTCCAACTTGGGCGACAAAGCAAGATTCTCTTTCAAAAAGAAAAAAAAATTAGCTGGGCATGATGGAGCACCTGTAGTTCCAGCTACTTCAGAGGCTGAGGTGGGAGGATCACTTGAGCCCAGGAGGTCAAGGCTGTAGTGAGCTGTAATCTTGCCACTGTACTCGAGCCTGGGCAACAGTGACACCCTGTCTCAAAAAAAAGAGAGGGTAGGCCCGGTGCAGTGGCTCACACCTGTAATCCCAACACTTTGGGAGGTGGGTGAATCACCTGGAGTCAGGAGTTTGAGACCAGCCTGGCCAACATGGTGAAACCCTATCTCTACTACTGAAGAAAAAAAAAAAAAGAGGGTGGGTAGGAACTCTGTTATCTATTTACAAACAAGGAAATTGTTATGGGAATCACTGAGGAACTTAGCCAAAGTTAACCTAGCAGTAAGTGTTCAGTCTGGCTCCTGAATCTTTTTGAAACAGTCTCACTCTGTCACCCAGGCTGGAGTGCAGTGGTGCCATCTTGGTTCACTGCAACCTCCACCTCTCAGGTTCAAGCGATTCTCATGCCTCAGCCTCCCAAGTAGCTGGGCTTACAGGCGCATGCCACCATGCTCGGTTAACTGTATGTATGTATGTATGTATTTTGAGATGTAGTTTCATTCTTGTTGCCCAGGCTAGAGCATAATGGCATGATCTCAGCTCACTGCAACCTCCGCCTGCCAGGTTCAAGTGATTCTCCTGCGTCAGCCTCCCGAGTCGCTGGGATTACAGGCGTGTGCCACCACACCTGGCTAATTTATTTTTGTATTTTTAGTAGAGACAGGGTTTTGCCATGTTGGCCAGGCTGGTCTCGAACTCCTGACCTTAGGTGATCCACCTGCCTCGGCCTCCCAAAGTGCTGGGATTACAGGCGTGAGCCACCATGCCTGGCCCTAATTGAGATGGAGTCTCACTCTGTCGCGCAGGCTGGAGTGCAGTGGCGGGATCTTGACTCACTGCAAGCTCCACCTCCCGGGTTCACGCCATTCTCCTGCCTCAGCCTCCCGAGGAGCTGGGACTACAGGCGCCCGCCACCACGCCCGGCTGATTTTTGTATTTTTAGTAGAGACGGGGTTTCACCGTGTTAGACAGGATGGTCTTGATCTCCTGACCTCGTGATCTGCCCGCCTCGGCCTCCTAAAGTGCTGGGATTACAGGCGTGAGCCTGGCCCTTTTTTATATTTTTTTTAGTAGAGATGGGGTTTCACCATGTTGGCCAGGCTGGTCCCTAACCCCTGACCTCAGGTGATCTGTCCGCCTCAGCTGCGATTACGGGCATGAGCCACCATGCCAGGCCCTGAAGTTTTTTATGTCCACAAATGTGTATGGAAGGGTGGACTACAAATGAACTACAGGAAAATACATGAACAACAACAAAAGTTGCAGGCCAGGTGTGGTGGCTCTGGCCTAGAATCACAGCACTTTCACTTTCAGAGGCTGAGGCTGGCGGATCACCTAAGTTCGGGAGACCAGCCCGACCAACATGGAGAAACCCCATCTCTAATAAAAATACAAAATTAGCCGGGCGTGGTGGCATATAATCCCAGCTACTTGGCAGGCTAAGGCAGGAGAATCGCTTGAACCCAGGAGGCAGAGGTTGTGGTGAGCCAAGATAGTGCCACTGCACTCCAGCCTGGGGAACAAGAGCAAAACTATGTCTCAAAAAACAAAAAAGGCTGGGCGCGATGGCTCACGCCTGTAATCCCTGCACTTTGGGAGGCCAAGGCGGGCGGATCACGAGGTCAGGAGATCCAAGACCATCCTGGCTAACACAATGAAACCCGTCTCTACTAAAAATACAAAAAAATTAGCCGGGCACCTGTAGTCCCAGCTACTCCGGAGGCTGAGGCAGGAGAATGGCTTGAACCTGGGAGGCAGAGCTTGCAGTGAGCCGAGATCGCGCCACTACATGCTGCCTGGGCGACAGAGCGAGACTCCATCTCAAAGATAAATGAAATAAGTAAATGTCAGGCGTGGTGGCTCACGCCTGTAATCCCAGCATTTCAGGAGGCCGAGGCGGGCGGACGGTGAGGCTAGGAGTTGGAGACCACCCTGGCCAATGTGGTGAAACCCCGTCTCTAGTAAAAATACAAAAATTAGCTGGGCATAGTGGTGCGCGCCTGTGGTCCCAGCTACTCGGGAGGCTGAGGGAGGAGAAATCGCTTGAACCTGGGAGGTGGAGGTTGCAGTGAGCTATCGCGCCACTGCACTCCAGCCTGGCGACAGAGCAAGACTCTGTCCCCCCCGCCCCCCAGAAAAGCAGAAAGTTGCAGTAGAACACATGAAGATTTATTCTTTTTGAAAAATGAAAAATGGGCCAGCATGGTGGCTGTTTGTAATGCCAGCACTTTGGGAGTCCAAGGTGGGCAAATCACAAGGTCGGGAGTTCGAGACCAGCCTGGCCAACATGGTGAAACCCCCATCTCTACTAGAAATACAAAAAATTAGCGGGGCATGGTGGCGGGCACCTGTAGTCCCAGTGATTTGGGAGGCCCAGGCAGAATAATGGGGTGAACCTGGGAGGCAGAGATTGCAGTATGAGTCGAGATCACGCCACTGCACTCTAGCCTGGGCGACAGTGCAAGACTCCATCCCCCCAAAAAAGAAAAATGTTGTCTCGTGTCTGGTGAATCATTCCATTTTTACAAAGTTCAAAAGATACGCAAAATTAAAATGATATTGTTTAGCAATGCACTCAGTAAAACTATTAAGAAAAGCCAGAGGATGATATACCCAGTTAATTCTCCAAGTAGGAAGAAGAAAAAGAGAAATTGAATCAGACAGGTTTGTTTCAAAGTTATTGGTAATGTTCTGGCCAGGCACATCATTTGAGGTCAGGAGTTCGAAACCACCCTGGCCAATATGGTGAAACCCCTATCTCTTCAAAAAATACAAAAATAAGGTGTGCAGCTGTAGCCCCAGCTACTGGGAACGCTGAGGCACGAAAATCACTTGAACCCGGGGAGAGGCTGCAGTGAACCCAAACTGCGCCACTATATTCCAGCCCAGGTGACAAGGTGCAACTGTCTCAAAAAAAAAAAGATGGCTAATTGGGTAGCCGTGGACACTTTACAATCATTAAAAAAAACTCAAATTCGGCCAGGCACAGTGGCTCACACCTGTAATCCCAACACTTTGGGAGGCTGAGGCAGGCGGATGGCTTGAGGTGGGTGGATCACCTGAGGTCAGGAGTTCGAGACCAGCCTGGCCAACATGGTGAAACCTTGTCTCTACTAAAAGTACAAAAAATAGCTAGGGGAGGTGCCAGGCGCCTGTAATCCCAGCTACTCAGGAGGCTGTGAGGCAGGAGAATCACTTGAACTCAAGATGCAGAGGTTGCAGTGAGGCGAGATTTTGCCATTGCACTCCAGCATGGGCAACAAGGGCGAAACTCCACCTCCTCCCCTGCCAGAAAAACCATCTCAAATGATTGTCAAAAGTCTAGTGTATTATACATAATACTATGTCACCCAACCAAGAATCTCTAATATTAGGCTTAAGAGTTAAGCCTAACTCAGCATTAACTAGCTCACGGGGCTTCATCTTTCTTTTTTTTTAAGACGGAGCCTGTCGCCAGGCTGGAAGTGCAGTGGCACGATCTCGGCTCACTGCAACCTTGGACTCCCTGGTTCAAAGCCATTCTCCTGCCTCAGCCTCCCGAGTAGTTGGGATTACAGGTATGTATCACCACACCCAGCTAATTTTTGTCCTTTGTTTTAGTAGAGACAGGGTTTCACCATGTTGGCCAGGATAATCTCAATCTCCTGACCTTGTGATCCACCCACCTCGGCCTCCCAAAGTGCTGGGATTATAGGCATGAGCAACTTGCGCCCAGCCCCCTTAATCTTTTTGTACCATTGTTCTGAGACCAAACCACGTCTTCTTTACTTTAAAATGCTTTATTGGAATTATTTTGATAAAAGCAAATACTTGTATATAAGACAAATATAGGAAATAGAAGCTATCTACTTGAAGTGCCCCCTAATTTTCAGGCATTTTTCCCCCAATAAGGTGACAGCTGCTCACACAGGATAATACAGGAAAGTTGTAAGTTCTTAGGATATGCCCAGCACCAGGCGGAAGATATTGTGTCAGCAAATTCCTGAAAAATAATAAAAAGAACATTAGAACCATATGAGATGCACCAATAAAAAAACGATTTCATATCCTTTGCAGCAACATGGATGCAACCACAGGCCATGATCCTCAGTGAATCAATACAGAACAGAAAACCAGATACCATATGTTCTTACTTGTAAGTGGGAGCTAAATGTTGAGTATACATGGACATAAAGATGGCAACAGACACTGGGGAGAGGAAATGGGGCAAAGGTTTAATAACTATTGGGTACTATGCCCACTACCTGGGTGATGGGGATAATCCTACCCCAAACCTCAGCATCATACAATGAACCCAAGTAACAAAACTGCACATATACCCCCTAAATCTACAATAAAAGCTGAGGCTGGGCATGGCAGCTCACGCCTGTCAATTCCAACACTTTGGGAGGCCAAGGCAGAAGTGTTCGGAGGCCAAGGCAAGACAATCACTTGAGCCCAGGAGTTTCAGACCAGCTTGAGCACCATAGTGGGACCCCATTATCTACAGCTTTTTTTTTTTGAGATGGAGTCTTGCTCTGTTGCCCAGGGTGAAGTGCAATGGCGCAGTGCAATGGCGCCATATCAGCTCACTGCAACCTCCACCTCCCAGGTTCAAGCGATTCTTCTGCCTCAGCCTCCCAAGTAGCTGGAATTACAGGCGCCCGCCACCCATGCCCAGCTAATTTTTGTATTTTTAGTAGACAGGGTTTCACGGTGTTGGTCAGGCTGGTCTTCAACTCCTGACCTCAGGTGATCCACCCACCTTGGCCTCCCAAAGAGCTGAGATTACAGGCATGAGCCACCACACCCATCCTCAAATTTAAAAAAAAAAAAATTAGCCGGGGATAGTGGTGCATGCCTGTAAGTCATTAGCTACTCCAAGGGTGAGGTGAGAGGTGAGCTTCCACCCAGGAGGTTGAGGCTGCAGTGAGCTGTGACTGCACCACTGCACTCCAGCCTGGGTGACAGAGCAAGACTGTCTCAAAAAATAGAATAAAATTGTCAGATGCTATGGCTCACACCTGTAATCCCAGCACTTTGGGAGGCTAGGGCGGGCAAATCACCTGAGATCAGGAGTTCAAGACCAACATGGTGAAAACTCCCATCTCTACTAAAAATACAAAATTAGCTGGGCATGGTGGCGCATGCCTGTAATCCCAAGTACTCGGGAGGCTGAGGTTACAATGAGCTGAGAATGTGCCACTGCACTCCAGCCTGGGCGACAAAGTGAAACTCCATCTCAAACAAAAAATAAATAAAAATACATGTTGCGGGCTGGGCTCGGTGGCTAATACCTGTAATCTGAGCACTTTGGGAGGTCAAGGTGGGCAGATCTCTTGGTCAGGAGTTCAAGACCAGCCCGGCCAACATGGTGAAACCCTCTACTAAAAATACAAAAATTAGCCGGGACTGGTGGCGCATGCCTGTAATCCCAGCTACTTGGGAGGCTGAGGCAGAATTGCTTGAACCTGGGAGGCAGAGGCTGCAGTAAGCCAAGAGTGTACCACTGCACTCCAGCCTGGATGACAGAGCAAGACAGTCTCAAAAAACACACAAAACATGTTGGGGTGGGGCACAGTGGCTCACTGAGGCAGGAGTTGAAGACCAGCCTGTGCACAAAGTGAGACCCTGTAATACAGTTTAGATCTGTCTCCCCACCAAATCTCATATTGAATTGTAATGGATCACTGGGGTGGATTCCTCATGAATGGCTTAAGCACCATCCTCCTTGATGCTGTGCTCATGACAGTCAGTTCTCTAGAGATCAATTTATTAAAAATGTGTGGCACCTCCCTGCCTTTGCTGCTGCTCTGGCCATGCTACATCCCTGCTTCCCTCTGTACCTTATGCAATATAGTTTCCTGAGGCCCCCACCAGAGGCTGAGCAGATGCCAACACCATGCTTCCTGTACATCCTGCAGAACCATAGCCAATTAAACCTCATCATGTAAGTAACTGGCCATAAAAACATGAATTACAGGAGATTGCCGGCAGGATGAAGGTGGATCAGGTGGGTTCAAAGATCCTCAGAGAAAAGCTCAGAGACTCTTGTCCAACCAGATCATCATTACCACTCCCACTGAGAGCCAAAACAAAAGATACTCACCATAGCAAGGAAGGAGAACAGGCATGGCTCTCCACCTCTCCCAGCCTGAAGGTCAAGTTGCAGGAATCACTGTCTAAGCATGACAGCCATACAAAGCTTCTCTCCATGAGGGGGAGATTCCAAACCTTAGACCTTCACTCAGATTAGTGCAGAATCTCTGTGAAGGTGCATTGTCCCTGGCTGGGCTTCCAGAGTTCATTCTAACAAGGTGAAAACAAGACAATTTGAAAATAAACAGAATTATGGCCCTCCCATTGGCCCTTCTGGAGACCCAAGTATCCAGTTCCCTAAATGAGTCAGAACTTAGTTTTGACATCATGACCAGCATCGGAGACTCTAGTCTGTGAAATCATCATTCCCAATTAGGGAGATCTGGATCAAGGGAAGCTCTTCTGGAAAGAGATCTAGTACACTCAAAGAAAACACAACAGTCCCAGTATATATTGATCTAACAAATGAGTCCAGGAGTGGACGTTAGAAAGGGAGGAGTAGAAAGTAATTTAAAACAGCAGAGAACAGCTCCACTGGGAGGCCCCAGTGTACTCCTATTTTGCAGTAGAAATGAGGGGAGGAGTCAGGTTACCCAGCCTTTAACAAAAATACGGGGATTTATTAAAACGTAAAAATACAGGCCGGGCAAAGTGGCTCACGCCTGTAATCCCGGCACTTTGGGAGGCCGAAGGGCGTGGATCAACTGAGGTCAGGAGTTTGAGACCAGCCTGACCAACATGAGTGAGACTCATGTCCCCCCGCCCCCTAAAAAAGTAAAAATAGAATAGTCACAAGGAAAATGATGTAAACTAAAAAGAGTAAGACTGTCCCCCCGCCCCCCAAAAAAGTAAAAATAGTCACAAGGAAAATGATGTAAACCAAAAAGTAATCTCTAGAAAGTCACCAACACCAGACGCAGCAACTCACCCCTGTAATTCCAGCACTTTGGGAGACTGAGGCAGGAGGACTGCTTGAGCCCAGGAGTAGAGACCAGCCTGGACAACATGGCAAAAGCCCGCTTCTGTAAAAAAACTAAAAATTAGCCAGGCGTGGTGGTAGCACGTGCCTGCAGTCCCAGGAAGCTGAGGTGGAAAGACCACTTGAGCCCTGACGGTGGATGTTGCAGGGAGATCCTGGCATTGCGCCCTGTCTCAAAAACAAAATAGCAAAAACAAACAAATGGAAGTCACCACCTGTGGTACATGGATTATAGCTCAAAAAAGAAAAAGTGGCCGGGCACAGCGGCTCACGAGGTCAGGAGATGGAGACCATCCTGGCCAACATGGTGAAACCCCTTCTACTAAAAACAGAAAAATTAGCCGAGTGTGGTGGCGCGGGCCTGTAGTCCCAGCTAATCGGCAGGCTGAGGCAGGACAATCGATTGAACCCGGGAGGCAGAGGTTGCAGGGAGATCGTACCATTGCCAGCCCGGGCAACAAGATCAAGACTCCATCTCAAAAAAAAAAAAAAAAAGGAAAAAATTGGCTAAGGTGGGAGAATCGGTTAAACCCGGGAGTTGAAGGCCGCACTGAATTGTGTTCTTGCCACTGCATTCCAGCCAGGGTGACAGGGAGGCTGTCTTAAAAAAAAAAAAAAAAAAAAGGCCGGGCGCGGTGGCTCACGCCTGTAATCCCAGCACTTTGGGAGGCCGAGAGGGGCGGATCACGAGGTCAGCAGATCGAGACCATCCTGGCTAACACAGTGAAACCCCTTATCTATTAAAAAATACAAAAAATTAGCCAGGCTTGGTGGCATGCGCCTGTAATCCCAGCTAATCGGGAGGCTGAGGCAGGAGAATCGCTTGATCCCAGAAGGCGCAGGTTGCAGTGAGATCGTGCCACCGCACTTCAGCCTGGGTGACAAGGCGAGACTGTCTCAAAAAAAAAAAAAAAAAAAGGGCAGGGAGGCGCATAATGCCCATGAACGAAAGCTTGCTTGGGAACAAAGCTTTCCGAAGAGGCATTCAAAAGGCTCTCGCACCTAATACTCACCTTTACTCAAGGATAACACGGCGATGAACGTCTTACAACTCCTAACGGGGAAATGAAACAGAACAAAAGATTAGGAATCTTGGCCATGAACTCGTTGAGCCTGAGAAATGCTGGACCGAGGGGGCGGTCAGAGCGCTGCGGTGATGGCATCAGCGACACACTCAGAGTTACCTGGGGTCATCATCACTCCCTTCCTATCCCCGGGCGACCGCCACCCCCATTTTGCAATCACTCGCCCAACCCCACTCACAGTTGTTTTGAGTCAGCAGGGGCTGTGGGGCCGCTAGCCGAGTTCCCCCTGCCACGAGCTAGGTCAGTTCCAAGCAAAGACACCAGAAACTCCAGTGTGCAACGGTAGTTCACCCAACTGCACTGGGGACCGCCCTCTCCTACCCCAGCCAGGCCGCGACGTGGCCGCCCGCCGGCTGCTGCGCAAAGGCAGCGCAAGCCGTTGGGATCCCCTGCTCCCCCTCACTCAACAGTCGGGCCATTACAACTCTCATACTGCCAACCCACGAGCCCACTTCGCAAAAAGAACTAAAATGGCGAGGCCGGGGCCATTTATGGCGGCGCCGGGTTGGGGGCCTGACGGGTATAGTTGTTTTCTTATCTGCCTGGCTAGACGCGCGGCATTTTCCCCATTGTTTGTCCACACAGAAATAAAACAAAGTGAAAGAAAGACCAGGAAAGTATGTTTCACACTCCTCTGGGCAAATATTCGGAGATGCTTTCTGAATTTTGAAAAACAAAAAACAGGGATCTGTCTGGCCAGGCGGAAGAAAGTCCCCGGCGCCGGCCGGCCAGCGCCAGCCGGGTGCTGCTCCTAAGCCGTTTCCCAGCAGCCCATGGTCCGTTAATGACCCTGGGACTCTTCCCGCGCGCGCGCGGGCGCGCGCAGCTGCGCCAGTTTAGCGTCCAGCTACCCTGACACTTCGCACTCCGTTCCCCCAGCGAAATCTGAATTTGCCTCCCAGTTCGATCCCGCAGACTGTCAGGCACCCTAACCTTCAATTAAACAAAACAAAACAAAAACCAAAAACCCAAAAGGCAGGTCGGACGTAATAGGTCACGCCTGTAATCTCAACACTTTGGACAGGCCCAGGCAGAGGATCATTTGAGGCCCGGAGTTCGGGACCAGCCTGGGCAAATAGTGACACCCAACCCCCGTCTCTATTTATTTAAAAATTAGGCCGGGCGCGGTGGCTCACGCCTGTAATCCCAGCACTTTGAGAGGCCGAGGCAGGTGGATCACGAGGTCAGGAGATCGAGACCATCCTGGCTAACACGGTGAAACCCCGTCTCTACTAAAAAAAAATTAGCAGAGTGTGGTGGCGGCGCCTGTAGTCCCAGCTACTCGGGAGGCTGAGGCAGGAAAATGGCGTGAACCCAGGACGCCGAGCTTGCAGTGAGCCGAGATTGCGCCACTGCACTCCAGCCTGGGCGACAGGGCGAGACTCTGTCTCAAAAAAAAAAAAATTATTGAAACTCATAAGTCATTTCAAATCCTTTCTGGACCCTTTCCTATCGCCCCCATTTATAAACGCGTATGATGTTTGGTGATGTGTGTTGTGTGTGTTGGTATCTTTTTCTTTTTTGAGACGGAGTCTGACTCTGTTGCCCAGGCTGGAGAGCAGTGGCGGGATCTCGGCTCACTGCAACCTCCGCTTCCTCGGTTCAAGCGATTTTCCTGCCTCAGCCTCCGAAGTAGCAAGGATTACAGGTGCACACAACCATGCCTGGCTAATTTTTATATTTTTAGTAGAGTCAGGGTTTCACCATGTAAGCCAGGCTGGTCTCGAACTCCTGACTTCAGGTGATTTGCCTGCCTAGGCCTCCACAAAGTGCCAGGATTATAGGTGTGAGCCACCGAGCCTGGCCTCTTCTTTTTTTTTTTTTTTTCTTTTTCTTTTTTTTTTTTTTTGAGATAGGGTCTTGCTCTGTTACCCAGATTGGAGTGCAGTGGCATGATCTCGGCTTACTACAACCTCTGCCTCCCGGGTTCAAGTGATTCTCTTGCCTCAGCCTCCTGAGTAGCTGAGATTACAGGCATCTGCCACCACACCCAGTTAATTTTATATATTTTTAGTAGAGACAGGGGTTTTCACCATGTTGGCCCAGGCTGGTTTTGAACTGGTGAACCTCAGTGATCCTCCCACCTCGGCCTCCCAAAGTGCTGGGATTACAGGCGTGAGCCACCGTGGCCAGCCCAGTTCAGTGGTTTTCTCCACATTGGCTGCAAATTACAAACACCTGGGCAGCTTTAAATGTCTACACTGCCCTCTTTGAGATTCTGAATTGGCCTGAGAGAGGCCTGGCATCTGTATTTTTTTAGCATCCCTTAATCGTTTTATTGTTCCATTAGGGTGGAGAGCCATGGCTCAAAGCTAAAGTATTTGTTCCCTCTACTGCCTGGCAAGTATATAAAAAAAAGATTAGCTATGGGTGGTGGCATACACGTGTAGTCCCAGCTAATCAGGAGGCTAAGGATCAATTGAGCCCAGGAGGTCGAGGCTGCCATGAACCGTGATCATACCACTGCACTCTAGCCTGGGCAACAGAGTGAGACCCTGCCTTAAAAAAATATATATATATATACAGAAAGCCCTAATTCCTGCTGTTTTGGCAGTTAAGCTGCCTTTACTAAGTGCTATGGTCAGAGGCTTTAGTTCCTCTTTTTTTTTTTTTTTTTTTTTTTGAGACAGAGTTTCGCTCTTGTTGCCCAGGCTGGAGTGCAATGGCGCGATCTCGGCTCACAGCAACCTCCGCCTCCCAGGTTCAAGCCATTCTCCTGCCTCAGCCTCCAGGGTAGCTGGGATTACAGGCATGCGCCACCACACCCGGCTAATTTTGTATTTTTAGTAGAGATGGGGTTTCTCCATGTTGGTCAGGCTGGTCTCGAACTCCAGACCTCAGGTGATCCGCCCGCCTCGGCCTCCCAAAGTGCTGGGATTATAGGTGTGAGCCACCGCGCCTGGCCTAGTTCATCTCTTTCATTAATAAAACAGGCCTTTAAGAATTGGCCCAAGGGCCGGGCATAGTGGCTCACGCCTATAATCCCAGCACTTTGGGAGGCCAAGGCAGGCAGATCACCTGAGGTCAGGAGTTCGAGACCAGCCTGCCCAACATGGCGGAAACCTCGTCTGTACTAAAAATACAAAAAATTAGCTGAGCATAGTGGCCGGTGCCTGTAATCCCAGCTACTTGGGAGGCTGAGGCAGGAGAATCGTTTGAACCTGGGAGGTAGAGGTTGCAGTGAGCCGAGATTGCTCCACTGTACTCCAGCCTGGGCAACAAAAGTGAAACTCTGTCTCAAAAAAAAAAAAAAAAAAAAAAAACTTGGCCCCAAAACCAAAGAAACTTACTATATTCCTTTTCTTTTATACACTTTCAAGGAGGATTTCCAGTATTATGTAATCCTTAAAACGTTTTAAGGATTTAAAACATTTTAAAACCCTAGAGGGTAAGGATTTACACAAAGGTGCAACACAGGACTTTAACCGTTTTATTTATGTTTTTTTGAGATGAAGTATTGCTCTGTCACCCAGGGTGGAGTACAGTGGCGCAATCTCAACTCACTACAACCTCCGCCTCCAGGGTTCAAGTGATTCTCCTTCCTCAGCCTTCCATGTAGCTGGGATTATAGACATGCCCCACCGTGCCCACCTAGTAGAGACAGGGTTTCACCATGTTGACCAGGCTGGTCTGGAACTCCTGACCTTAGGTGATCCAACCGTCCCACCTCGGTCTCCCAAAGTGCTGGGATTACAGGCGTGAGCCCCCACGCCCGGCCAGCTAATTCTATTGTTTTTTGTAGAGATGGGTTTTCGCTATGTTGGCCAGGCTGGTTTTGAACTCCGGACCTCAAGTGATCCGCCCACCTCACCCTCCCTAAATTCTGGGATTATAGGCATGAGCCATCGCACCTGGCCCATTTTATTTGATTTTTAAATTCTTTTTGTAAATTGACAAACTTTAGTTGCATATATTGGTACAAAGTAGTTATTAACACAATATGGAGTAATTAAATCAAGCTAATTAACATATCACCTCAAATATTTTTGTGACAAGAACATTTGAAATTTTGAAATATACAATACACTATTAACTATTTTCACCATGCCATGCAATATATACCCTCCACCCACCACCCCCCCAAAAAAAAACACAAAAACTGGCAGGGCACAGTGGCTCACGCCTATAATCCCAGCACTTTGGGAGGACTAGACAAGGGGATCGCTTGAGCTGAAGAGTTCGAGACCAACCTGGGCAACACAGCAAGACTTCGTCTCTACAAAATACAAAAAATTAGCTGAGCATGATGGCACATACCTGTAGACCCAGTACTCAGGAGGCTAAGGTGGGAGGATTGCTTGAACCCAGGAGTTTGAGACTACAGTGAGCTCTACTGTGCTCCAGCCTGGGTGACAGAGCAATATCCCGTTTCAAAAAAAAAAAAAATACAATTTATTTCTCCTGACTAAGGCTTTGTTTCCCTTGCACGTCTCCCCATTCCCCCATCCCACAGCCCTTGGTGACCACCACTTCTCTGCTTCTGAGTTCTACTGTTTAGATTCCACATATAAATGAATATGAGCCGAGGTCAGGAGATTGAGACCATCCTGGCTAACACGGTAAAACGCTGTCTCTACCAAAAATACAAAAAATTAGCCAGGCGTGGTGGCAGGCGCCTGTAGTCCCAGTTACTCAGGAGGCTGAGGCAGGAGAATCGCTTGAACCCGGGAGGCGGAAGTTACCGTGAGCTGAGATTGCGCCACTGCACTCCAGCCTGGGCGACAAGAGTGAGAGTGAGACTCCGTCTCAAAAAAAAAAAAAAAAAAAGTCAGCATTTTTTTGTGGACTCCGCTCACTAAGTAGAAGAGGGAGAGAAAACCACCATAATCCCATCTCAGCACCACCCCTCCCCTCCCCGCCCCAGTGAACCCACCTCAACCACCCCTCCAATACCGTTTTGCAGCTGCCATCCGACTTTTCCCTGAAACAAGCCCCACTCTAATCAAGACGGGCACCTGCAATTTCTCTTAAGGCCCACAATTAAGCCCAAACAAAAATATGTGTAGCTCTAACTCCTACACGTATAACTCTTCAGCAGTACTGTTCTTTTCAGACTATAAAGATAGATGGTATTCAGACACTATCCCTCCGCAAATATCCATTATCTTCACATATTAACAGACAAGAAAAAGTTTAACATTTTATTTTTCATATTTAAATAAACAAATTATAAAAACATACATTCCCAGCCTTTGTAGTGTTTTCGCCAAGCAAAAAAAAAAAAAAAAAAAAAAAAAAAAAAACTCGTACAGAAGGTGGCAGTGTTGATTCATTTAAAGGGAACGAAACACCCTTACAGTATCAACATTAAATGCAAAGAATTCTAATGAACATATCGGTTGTACTACAAAAATAATGAAGCCAGCTAATTACCATCAGGTTACAACTTAACTTTACAAAGAAGTGAAGCAGCAAAGAGCTGAAGCAGAAATGACATAGGAAAACAGCAGCAAAGTCCTTGAGTCCCAACAGTCCACCTCAAAGACAAACATACTAAAGAACAAAGGCCCCTAATCCACCTCCTCAATGGTAGGGCCTGACCCAGACCCTCCCTTGGGACCCTGAGCCCCGAAGCCCCCAGGCCCGGGACCACCGGCACCCTGGTACAGTCCGCTGATGATGGGGTTACACACCTGCTCCAGCTCCTTCCTCTTGTGCTCAAACTCGTCCTTCTCGGCCAAGGTGTTGGCGTCCAGCCACGAGATGACCTCTTGACACTTGTCCAGAACCTTCTTCTTGTCCGCCTCGCTGATCTTGCCCTTGAGCCCCTCATCCTCCACGGCGCTCTTCATGTTGAAGGCGTAGGACTCCAGGGCGTTCTTGGCTGACACCCTCTCGCGCTGCACCTCGTCCTCCGCTTTGTACTTCTCCGCCTCCTGCACCATGCGCTCGATCTCCTCCTTGCTCAGGCGGCCCTTGTCGTTGGTGATGGTGATCTTGTTGGCCTTGCCGGTGCTCTTGTCCGTGGCCGTGACGTTCAGGATGCCGTTGGCATCGATGTCGAAGGTCACCTCGATCTGGGGCACGCCCCTGGGGGCCGGAGGGATGCCGCTCAGCTCGAAGCGCCCCAACAGATTGTTGTCTTTCGTCATGGCCCTCTCGCCCTCGTACACCTGGATCAGCACCCCGGGTTGGTTGTCGGAGTAGGTGGTGAAGATCTGCGTCTGCTTGGTGGGGATGGTGGAGTTGCGCTTGATCAGGGCAGTCATCACGCCTCCGGCCGTCTCCAGCCCCAGCGACAGGGGAGCCACGTCCAGCAGCAGCAGGTCCTGCACGTTCTCGGACTTGTCCCCCATCAGGATGGCCGCCTGCACCGCCGCCCCGTAGGCCACAGCCTCGTCGGGGTTGATGCTCTTGTTCAGGTCGCGCCCGTTGAAGAAGTCCTGCAGCAGCTTCTGCACCTTGGGGATGCGGGTGGAGCCCCCGACCAGGACCAGGTCGTGAATCTGGGCCTTGTCCAGCTTGGCGTCGCGCAGAGCCTTCTCCACGGGCTCCAGGGTGCTTCGGAACAGGTCGGAGCACAGCTCCTCGAACCTCGCCCTGGTGATGGACGTGTAGAAGTCGATGCCCTCAAACAGGGAGTCGATCTCCAGGCTGGCCTGGGTGCTGGACGACAGGGTCCTCTTGGCCCTCTCGCAGGCGGTGCGCAGCCGCCTCACGGCTCGCTTGTTCTGGCTGATGTCCTTCTTGTGTTTTCTCTTGAACTCCTCCACGAAGTGGTTCACCAGCCTGTTGTCAAAGTCCTCCCCACCCAGGTGGGTGTCCCCGGCCGTGGCCTTCACCTCGAAGATGCCGTCGTCGATCGTCAGGATGGACACGTCGAAGGTGCCCCCGCCCAGGTCAAAGATGAGCACGTTGCGCTCCCCCTTGCCCGTTCTGTCCAGGCCGTAGGCGATGGCGGCGGCCGTGGGCTCGTTGATGATCCGCAGCACGTTGAGCCCCGCGATCACACCCGCATCCTTGGTGGCCTGGCGCTGCGAGTCGTTGAAGTAGGCCGGCACGGTGATCACCGCGTTGGTCACCGGGTAGCCCAGGTACGCCTCGGCGATCTCCTTCATCTTGGTCAGCACCATGGACGAGATCTCCTCGGGGTAGAATGCCTTGGTCTCCCCCTTGTAGCTCACCTGCACCTTGGGCTTGTCTCCGTCGTTGATCACCTGGAAAGGCCAGTGCTTCATGTCCGACTGCACCACCGGGTCGCCGAACTTGCGGCCGATCAGCCGCTTCGCGTCAAACACGGTGTTCTGCGGGTTCAGCGCCACCTGGTTCTTGGCCGCATCCCCGATGAGCCGCTCGGTGTCCGTGAAGGCCACGTAGCTGGGGGTGGTGCGGTTGCCCTGGTCGTTGGCGATGATCTCCACCTTGCCGTGTTGGAACACCCCCACGCAGGAGTAGGTGGTGCCCAGGTCGATGCCGATCGCCGCGGCTTTGGCCATGCCGGTGCCCTGCTCTGTGGGCTCCGCTCTGAGACTGGGGGCTGGAAACGGCGGACGGGATCCGCGACAAGAGCTCAGTCCTTCGGAACGCCGGAAACTCAACACGCCGGTGCCTGCAGCCGCACAGGTTCGCTCTGGAAAGCCTTGGGACCGCGGGAGTCACTCTCGAAAGACGAAGCGGACCCTCGCAGCAGCTCCTCAGGCTGGCCGTTTTCCGGACCGCGCGCCCCTCGGCTTTTATAAGTCGTCGTGGAGACCCGCCTTTCCCCTTCTGAGCCAATCACCAAGCTCGATGAGGCTGCCAGGTCGGGAATATTCCAGGGGTTTCGCCTCCCGTCCTGCCCCCCAGCCTTCCTTGGACCAATCAGAGGGCAGGGTGCCGCCCTCTGCTCAGAACTCTCCAGAGTCTTCTGGGATTCACTGGAGGGGACAGGGGCCCTGAGAGAAAGGGGGAGTGGTGGTGGGAAGGGTGTTGGTCTCCATGGCGATGCTGGCCGCCTGCCCTTCAGTAGGTAATTGACAGGAAGGGCCCGCTCTGGGCGGTGCGAGATTGGTCGGATGACTTTGGAGACAACCAGAACCCGAAAGTTACCTTGTTTCTCGAAGGAGGCGGTGCATCGATGTGCCTGGGAAACTCTGATTGGACTGTGTCTGTGAAGGACGGAGCAGCCTTGGGTCCTTTCTCCGAGGCACCTAATGGCCTAGTCTGCCTGAGAAACGGACCGGCTCTCCCGGATGTTTTTTCCGTCTTAATGGGAAGGAGAAGGAAAGAGATAATGCAATATAGTTTTTGACATAATCTTTAACCTACAAGGATAGAACAACTGGGAATAGGAGCCTTTAAATTTTCACAAGGAAAGCAGTTGTGTAAACAGGCAGTTCTTAGCAAGACAGGGGCACCCATCCAAGGAGGAAGGGAGGCGCTGGTCGGGTAATGGGAGCAGTGGGTCCGCCGCACCCCTGTCCCCGCCCTCAGCCGCTCCCCTCAGCTGCAACCAGGAGTTAGAAAAAAATTTTCCTTAGTATGTAGGCCGTCCTTAAGGCATTTGGGATTCCTCCATTTCCCTCCCCATTCCTAGCTTGGGGTCTGGGACACCTCCTTCCTACTTTCTCAATTCCTGGTTCACTCCTGGACAGTGTGTAGAAGTAGGACCTCACAGTCCCGAGTAAGATTTTCTGTCTGTCCCTGAAACCCCTAGGCTGTTACCGTTTTTAGGTCAAATTTAACAAGATGGTGACCCTGGGAGGGAGGTGCGGGGGGTGTTTAGCTCTCTTTAACATCACATACTACAGCTGTTTGGCAGGTGGCCCTCTTTAAGCAAACTGTGTGGAGTGATGCTGGAAAGCAGGAGGGGTTGGGACCCAGGTTCTAGTTACTAGCTCCTCTTAACACCTCAGGTTATGTGTCTTAAGTTTGTTGTTTTCGTTTTGAGACAGTCTCGCTCTGTCGCCCAAGCTGGAGTGCAGTGGCGTGATCTCGGCTCACTGCAACCTCCGCCTCCCGGGTTTAAGCAATTCTCCTACCTCAGCCTCCTGAGTAGCTAGGATTACAGGCGTGCGCCACCACGCCTGGCTAATTTTTGTATTTTTAGTAGAGACAGGGTTTCCCCATGTTGGTCAGGCTGGTCTCGAACTCCTGACCTCGTGATCCGCCCATGTTGGTCAGGCTGGTCTCGAACTCCTGACCTCGTGATCCGCCCACCTCGGGCTCCCAAAGTGCTGGGATTACAGGCGTGAGCCACCATTCCCGGCCTGTTGTTTTTGTTTGTTTGTTTTGAGACTGAGTCTCACTCTGTCGCCCAGGCTGGAGTGCAGTGGTGAGATCTCTGCTCATTGCAACCTCTGCCCCTGGGGTTCAAACAATTCTGCTGCCTCAGCCTCCCCAATAGCTGGAATTACAGGATGTGCCACCACGCCGGGCTAATTTTTGTATTTTTAATAGAGACAGGGTTTCGCCATGTTGGCCAGGCTGAATGTGTCTAAGTTTTTATCCTAGATTCCAACTTCCTGCGGATTCTCCTTCCTCCTGTTTTAAATACGGTTGCATTTAGTAATTTACTTTCCCTTTGTTTTTTTCCTTCATTCTTAGTGTGAATGCAAGACCCTTTGTTAGGCGTCTGAAAGGAAAATGTGAGGGGGTTGAAGCAATAGTACTGTGTTTACAACCTACCACAAAAAAAAAAAAGAAAAGAAAAAAAAAATAGCCTCATTGCCATGGCGATATTCCTTGAGCACAAATGAAAGGAAGAAGTTACTGATGAAGGAATAATCCTGTTTTTAAACACTTTGCTCAATTGGCACTTTTCATATGCACACCTGCACACACACACCTGTCCACTATCAAAACACCTCTTCCTGGAATTTAAGGGTATTCATTTGTTTATAATTCACTGATCTAAACTCATGTTGCAAATAAATTGCTTTAACAATATGTGTGTGTCTGTATGTGCAGGTAGGTGATAACTTTCACATTCAGCTTTAGCTCCCTAATGAATCACCTCTCTAAACTAGTCAAACCGGTCAAACTTCAGGAATTTTCCCAAACATTTCTCTATGAAATGTCTGGCTGGAGATTCTCCCAAACTATGTTCATCTTAGCTGCACAGTGTATCAACACTTCCAGAGACCCTTAACCTCACCCCTCCCTCTGGAAACTTCCTCACCATCAACTGCTACTACTGGCAGGTCTGGATTCATTCCTTCCCTCCTTCCAAATCCACAATTTAAAAGGCCAGCACAGTGGCTCACACCTGTAATCCCAGCACTTTGGGAGGCCGAAGCAGCAGATCACCTGAGGTCAGAAATTCGAGACCAGCCTGACCAACATGGAGAAAGCCGGTCTCTACTAAAAATACCAAAAAAAAAAAAAAAAAAAAATTACCTGGGCATGGTGGCGCATGCCTGTAATCCCAGCTACTTGGGAGTCTGAGGCAGGAGAATCATTTGAACCCAGGAGGCGGAGGTTGCGGTGAGCCGAGATCGCGCCACTGCACTCCAGCCTGGGCAACAAGAGCGAAACTCCTTCTCAAAAATAAAATACTTCTCTGATTCTGCTGAGAAACATAAAAAGTGGGGAGTGGGGGGTGGGAGAGGGGGAGAAAAAACCTCTCTATTGGCATGAAGCAAAGGGCATCACTGTCTCAACTGCCTAGCAAGTAGATGTGGTGTTGGGACCCCAAATCTTGGGTGCTCTCTGGATAGCAGAAAAATCCAATATAAATGCTGTTTTTCTTCAATCAGTCACACTAGTCAGAGTCTACAGTGCTATAGTTGACCTAGCTTTTAAGTGAAGCCTCTGTGGACTAGACTGGAAACCCACACATACATATTCCTTGTCCATTTCCTGACAAGGAGAGGGTCACCTGAATTTTCTTTTTTTTTTCTTTTTTTTTTTTTTGAGACAGAGTCTTGCTCTGTCGCCCAGGCTGGAGTGCAATGGCACAGTCTTGGCTCACTGCAACCTCCACCTCCCAGGTTCAAGCGATTCTCCTGCCTCAGCCTCCTGAGTGGCTGGGATTACAGGTGCACACCACCACGCCTGGCTAATTTTTGTATTTTTAGTAGAGAGGGGGTTTCGTCATGTTGGCCAGTCTGGTCTCGAACTCCTGACCTCAAGTGATCCGCCCGTCTGGGCCGCCCAAAGTGCTGGAATTACAGGCATGAAGCACCACGCCGGCCTTTTCTTTCCTTTCAGACTGGATGCTTCCCAAGGCAGAAATCCAGTCACAAGTTTAATTGCTGTCTAAGGTGAATATATAAGAACCCCAGGAGATTTTTCAGAACTTTAATGTGATTAATTTCAGAATTAGGTTTTTATTGGATTCTGTGTTTGGAAGGATCAGAGCTCAGAGTCCCCAAAGTGAAAGCCAGGTTAGATGCTTTCAAAGGGACAAGAGAACTGAAGAGGGAGTGCCAAGAACATAATTGCTACAGCAGTGTGGGGTAAGACAGCCTTCTTCAGGCTGACGCTGCAGGGTCTTTTCCTTCCTTCTCCCTCTCCTTTTTATAGTTCCTCAAACAGTAGTTTTCTTAATTTTGTTCATTTTAAAAGATGGTATAGGCCGGGCGCGATGGCTCATGCATGTAATCCCAGCACTTTGGGAGGCCGAGATGGGTGGATCACCTGAGATCAGGAGTTCAAGACCAGCCCGGCAAACATGGCAAAACCCCTTCTCTCCTAAAAACACAAAAATTAGCCGGACGTGGTGGTGCACATCTGTAATCCCAGCTACTCAGGAGCTGAGGCAGGAGAATCACTTGAACCTGGGAGGTGGAGGTTGCAGTGAGCTGAGATCGCACCACTACACTCCAGTCTGGGTGACAGAGCAAGACTCTGTCTCAAAAAAATAATAAATTAAAAAAAAAAGCTGTTATAATTTTAAGTTTATCCAAATGAACTTAAATGAAAGCAAAAGAGTTAATTGATATGAAATCTAGAGGCAGGCATTCTTAACTGAATGAATGACAAATGCTTCAATGACAAAGAGAACCCTGGCCATTTCTAGCAGCATGGAAAGAAAAAATCTGGGAAGGGAAAATCCTGGATTTGCATCTGCGCTCTACTTCTTTGGTGAGGCTGTTTTTCTTTTCAACAAGGAAGTACTTGTACATTGACTAAATAACACAAGTTTCGACGTGTTCATCTCTAAAACATAATTAACAATAACTGAACTGCGTGTGGTGACTCAGGTCGGTAATCCCAGTGCTTTAGGAAGCCAAGGCAGGCACTTGAACTCAGAAGTCCAAGATCAGCCTGGGCAACATAGTGGGACACCATCTCTACTAAAAACTTTACAAGTTAGCTGGGCGTGGTGGCAGGTGCCTGTAGTCCCAGCTACTTGGGAGGCTGAGGCAGGAGGATCGCTTGAGCACAAGAGGTCAAGGCTGCAGTGAGCTATGATCACGCCACTGCATTCCAGCCTGGGAGACAGAGATCCTGTCTCGAATAAAAAAATTTTTTTTCCCTACATGATCAAAGAGAATATGATCTTCTCCCTCCTTTTATTGGGGATCCCATACTCTCGGATATGACTCGTAGTCATTCTTATTTAGGTGTTTAAAAGTTGGGGACCATTATTAGGACTACAGCTGCTTTCAGCTTAATGTAAAAACTGTCCTAAGATCTGCGGGCACAGGCCATTCAGTCAAACCTTTTCATTTTCAAAGACAGCACCAAGGATCAAAGAAGTTCAGTGGCTTGATCTGGTTACCCAGATGACAGGTTACAGAACCGGTGATTGGACCCACGGGTTCTGACACTCATTTTGTACTCCTTCCCACATTGGCTCATCAACCTAACTGGGTTTTGTTTGCTTTTAATTTTGTGGTTAGACCTAATTGTTTTATTCTCTAAAGAGGAAAACAAATGAATACAGTGTTGGCCTCTGCGAGCATTAAGGGCACCACGGGTATGTGATCAGCCAGGGACTCCCGTCCTGGCTGCTGCTCTGCTCTTCGGACTCAAGACCATGGCCCCTACAAGCTCTTGCCTTCCCCACCTTCCAGCTCTCCCAGCCCTGCCTCTCCTTTCCGATAGAACAGATTGCTCAAGCAGAAAGAGGGGAAAGGAGGGGGGAGCCCCGTTACTAGGGCAAGGTTGGCATATAGTTCACAGAATCTTCCGGACGTTAAATATAGAGTCCTGACTAACCTTGATGTTTTAGGGCCGGCTGGCGAGAGGAGGGAGAGACTCGGGTGGCGCAGTTTGTTGGGGAGTGTCCCTAAGAATGACACAGCAGTTCTCGCCTTGAAGGTCAGAAAACTCTAGAAACTTCGGGCAGAGCCAGCGACGGGGGAAAAAGCCTCAGCCAAAGGGGAGGAAAGGTGGGGAGTGCGGGGGGGGGGGCGGGGGGAGAAAAGGCGGGGCCGCTGGGGCCTGAGGGCGGGGCTGGCTTCGGGGCTGCCTATCCGACTCCTGCGTTTTCTGATGTTTTTTTTTTTCCAAAAAGGGATTAAAGGAGGAAAGAAAGGACCTTTCGAGTTTCTCTCATACTAGGTGATTTACAAGACGAAAATATTGGAGAATTTTGTAACTTTCATACAACTAAATCAGATGCATTGGGTGGCCAGAGGCGAGAAGAGAAGGTCCCCACCGCCCACGGCCAGCGCGCACCCGTCTGCGCGGGGACGCGCGACTGATGGGAGAGTAGGGGATGGAGTCGGTTGGCTTTTGCCTACAGCCAGCTCAGCGCCCCGTTCTAGTCCCTCGCCCCGTGAGGCATCAGGAGAGTAAGAAAATTAGACCCTCAGGAGTGATTCTCGGTTGCTGGGCTCCTCCGTAGTCCCAGCCTGTGAACCTGCTCCAGCCCTCCTCTGGTGCCCTCCCTTCTAATTTTTTTTTTTTTCACTTTTTTTTGAGGCAGGGTCTCGCTTTGTCGCCCAGACTGGAGTGCAGTGGCGCAATCACGGCTCACTGCAGCCTCAAGCGATCCTCCCGCCCCAGCCTCCCGGGTAGCTGGGACTCCAGGCCCGCGCCACCACGCCCTGCTCCTCTCTCCTCCAATTCTTGATCGGGCTGGACGTGGGCCAGCGGGGTGGGGCGGGTTTAACTCCGTGTCTGGAATGCTCCGCTGCCCTACCCCTCAAACATCCCTTTAAATGGTGGTGCTAGGAAAGGACGAGGGCCCGGTGGGTTTACTCCCTCTGGCTGAACTACACCTGATAGATACCTCAGGGGCGTTTCCCAAGGGGATGGATTTAGATCAGTTAGCAGGAGGAATGGTGGCTGTCACAATTTTTTATATTCACGTAAGGATCGCTCCCTCAGAAATCGCCAATATTGGCTCCCCCAAGAAATAACCTCATTTCCTTTTTTAGCCTAAAGCCGTATTATTTCTGCCCACTTCTCTCACATCTATAAAATACTGTAGTTAATTTTTTGTTTTGGTACCTTTTTTGTCTTTTTGAGGATGACAAGAACTCTTGAAGACCAGGAATAACAGTAAGTGTATATGTTATAAAATAAAATCCTGGGTTCAAAGCCATATAAAATCAAATTTATTATCATAGCCTGCTGCCTTCTGAGGCCTGGTATAGGAAGGTAGGAGGTGATTGGAATTGAGAAGATATTTATATTTGTTTTTCCACACCTGCAGTTATTTTTCCTGTTGCACTTTCCTCCCTCAAAGTTCCTCTGCTCCTCAAAACATCACTCCGTTTATGGGTGGCACTGCATTCTCTTTGCTAATTCCACAGCTCCCTCAACGTCTTTTCTTGAGGTTACAAAGTGAATATTTCAAGGTACAGTACTCTGTGCTAGGGTATGCAGGCAAACAATTTTTTTTTTTTTTTTTTTTTTTTGGAGACGGAGTCTTGCTCTGTCGCCCAGGCTGCAGTGCAGTGGCACGATCTCGGCTCACTGCAACCTCCACCTCCCGGGTTCAAGTGAGTCTCCTGCCTCAGCCTCCTGAGTAGCTGGGATTACAGGCGCCCACCACCACGCCTAGCTAATTTTTGTATTTTTAGTAGAGGTGGGGTTTCACCATCTTGGCCAGGCTTGTCTTGAACTCCTGACCTAGTGAGCCACCCGCCTCGGCCTCCCAGAGTGCTGGGATTACAGGCATGAGCCACCACGCCCGGCCGACAAGTAATAATTTTTACATATTTCTTGTTAAAACACCTACTAATAAGCTTGATAGGGCCATAGGAACTCTCTTATTGCCTCCATTCAATGTTATGTCTGATGACTTCTCTACTGTGTCAACAAAGGCATTTGGTAGGTCCTTCCCCATCTCCACCCTTTTCCAATTACCTTTTTCCCCACTCCATGCCACAGTAGTGGTAGTTGCTCCTGGTTTAGAGTCACTACAGGGTCTGCAGATCAGAGTCACAAATGCTACTGCAGCTCTGAAGGGGAGAGGAGGTCCTATAGCAAAGGCATATTCCCATGAAGATTGATTTACATTGTGGCCAGAGTCCACAGTACTACAGTTTAACTACCATAAGAGATAAATGTTCCTCTGTAGACTGGCCTGGAAACCTAAGCATTTCATATTTATTTTCTATTTTCAAACTTCCAAAGCAAGGTCTACCTTTATGTATCATTTCCCATAACACTGGATTTTCTTCATTAACAAGTATTTAGTGAATGGTTTGATGGGCTTTGAGGTACACATAAGCTCATAAAGTGCTTTAATGTAATATTGATACAATTGATTTTTTTTTCTTTTTTTTTTTTTTAGAGACAGGGTCTCACTCTGTTGCTCAGGCTGGAGTGCAGTGGTACAGTCATGGCTCACTGCAGCCTTGACCTTTACAATGTTATGCAACCGTCAACTCTGGTTCCAAAACATTTTCATCGCCCTTAGATACTATTTATTTATTTATTCACTGAGACAGAATTTCACTCATTGTTCAGGCTGGAGTGCAATGGCACGATCTTGGCTCACTGCAACATCCACCTCCTGGGTTCAACCGATTCTTCTGCCTCAGCCTCCCAAGTTGCTGGGATTATAGGTGCCCGCCACCACGCCCAGCTAATTTTTTGTATTTTTAGTAGAGATGGGGTTTCACCCTGTTGGCCAGGCTGGTCTTGAACTCCTGACCTCAGGTGATCCACCCACCTCGGCCTCCCAAAGTGCTGGGATTACAGGCATGAGCCACTGCGCCTGGCCGACACAATTTTTATTTTTTGAGATGGAGTCTCGCTCTGTCACCTAGGCTGGAGTGCAGTGGCGCAATCTCGGCTCACTGAAACCTCTGCCTTTGAGTTCAAACGATTCGCCTGCCTCAGCCTCCCGAATAGCTGGGATTACAGGCGCACACCATCGCGCCTGGCTGATTTTTGTACTTTTAGTGCAGGAGGTGGGTGGTGGGGGGGGTCCTCACCATGTTGGCCAGGCTGGTCTCGAACTCCTGACCTCAGGTGATCCGCCTGCCTCAGCCTCCCAAAGTGCTGGGATTACAGGCATGAGCCAGCACGCCCGGCCAGATACAATTCATTTTTAAAAGGGCTCACTCCGGGAGCTTTAAGGATTGTAGTGGGCGTTTTCCAAGGAGGAGGGAATTACTTCTAGGATGCTAGCGGCTGGGGCATGAAGCATCTCCAAGGGAAAGTGCATGGGAGTGAAGTCTGTAGGTCTTCCTGGCCCGGGTGCTCACTGGCGTACTTAAATTGTAGGTGATAACTGCTAAGAATGTGACATTTCTATTTCAGTATGCTTTCAGTCATGAGAGAGGCATCGAGCCAAACCCTTCCATTTTAAAAGATGACAACTAAAGCACATGTGTATAACTCAGCAAGCCAGTGAATGTACCCGTTTTTTCACTTTGAAATTTAGGACACTCCTTCCATTCCATGTTGAATCTAGATTAAGTATCAAGTCCATGAGCATATCAGGTGTACCTACAGGAGGTAGGAGCGCTGGCCTCCCATCTAACTGCATTCTTTTTGACCACTTTTGCAGAAACATCCCCGCCCCCCTCCCACCTCTTTTGAGACCAATCTTACACAAACATCACTTTAAGGCTACCCTCCCAGGTGTTAAACTTTTTCTGTACCCTCAGGCTAAACCCAATCAGCATCAACAAACTTTACTTTTTTGTGTGTGTGTGTGAGACGGAGTCTTGCTGTGATGCCCAGGCTAGAGTGCAATGGCGTGATCTCGGCTCACTGCTACCACTGCTTCCTGGGTTCACACGATTCTCCTGCCTCAGCCTCCCTGGGACTACAGGCACGCACCACCACGCCCAGCTAATTTTTGTGTTTTTAGTAGAGACAGGGTTTCACCACATTGGCCAGGTTGGTCTGGAACTCCTGACCTCAAGTGATCCGCCCACCTCAGCCTCCCAAAGTGCTGGGATTACAGGCTTGAGCCACCACTCCTGGCCAGAATCAAGAAGCTTTACTGGAGGATACCATTTGTCTAACACAAATGGATCACATTACAATAGTCACACCTCTGCAAAATCTGCCCTTACTGGAAGCAAAAATGCCATTCCATTTTAGACGCTATGGGAAAAACAACCTATGCAGACCCTACTGACCCCCAAATAAAGGAATAAAAGGCATCACTTGAATTTTAAAGTTTATTTACTTTGAAGTAACCAACTTAAAAAATGGCCTGAGTTAAGTGTATTAAAAAGAAGAAATAGTCGTAAGATGGCAGTATAAATTCATCTCTGCATGTAGAAACCGGAAAAAAAGCAAGTTCAGTACTTCACCAAAAAATTTCAACATTGCAAACACAGGAAATTGAGAACTGACAAACAGAAATACTAGGAAATGCAAAGTCTTGAAGCTCCAAAACAAAAACAGCAATCTTGGAAAGGCCCCTAATCTACCTCCTCAATGGTGGGGCCTGACCCAGACCCTCCCTTGGGACCCTGAGCCCCGAAGCCCCCAGGCCCGGGACCACCGGCACCCTGGTACAGTCCGCTGATGATGGGGTTACACACCTGCTCCAGCTCCTTCCTCTTGTGCTCAAACTCGTCCTTCTCGGCCAAGGTGTTGGCGTCCAGCCACGAGATGACCTCTTGACACTTGTCCAGCACCTTCTTCTTGTCGGCCTCGCTGATCTTGCCCTTGAGCCCCTCATCCTCCACGGCGCTCTTCATGTTGAAGGCGTAGGACTCCAGGGCGTTCTTGGCTGACACCCTCTCGCGCTGCACCTCGTCCTCCGCTTTGTACTTCTCCGCCTCCTGCACCATGCGCTCGATCTCCTCCTTGCTCAGGCGGCCCTTGTCGTTGGTGATGGTGATCTTGTTGGCCTTGCCGGTGCTCTTGTCCGTGGCCGTGACGTTCAGGATGCCGTTGGCATCGATGTCGAAGGTCACCTCGATCTGGGGCACGCCCCTGGGGGCCGGAGGGATGCCGCTCAGCTCGAAGCGCCCCAACAGATTGTTGTCTTTCGTCATGGCCCTCTCGCCCTCGTACACCTGGATCAGCACCCCGGGTTGGTTGTCGGAGTAGGTGGTGAAGATCTGCGTCTGCTTGGTGGGGATGGTGGAGTTGCGCTTGATCAGGGCAGTCATCACGCCTCCGGCCGTCTCCAGCCCCAGCGACAGGGGAGCCACGTCCAGCAGCAGCAGGTCCTGCACGTTCTCGGACTTGTCCCCCATCAGGATGGCCGCCTGCACCGCCGCCCCGTAGGCCACAGCCTCGTCGGGGTTGATGCTCTTGTTCAGGTCGCGCCCGTTGAAGAAGTCCTGCAGCAGCTTCTGCACCTTGGGGATGCGGGTGGAGCCCCCGACCAGGACCAGGTCGTGAATCTGGGCCTTGTCCAGCTTGGCGTCGCGCAGAGCCTTCTCCACGGGCTCCAGGGTGCTTCGGAACAGGTCGGAGCACAGCTCCTCGAACCTCGCCCTGGTGATGGACGTGTAGAAGTCGATGCCCTCAAACAGGGAGTCGATCTCCAGGCTGGCCTGGGTGCTGGACGACAGGGTCCTCTTGGCCCTCTCGCAGGCGGTGCGCAGCCGCCTCACGGCTCGCTTGTTCTGGCTGATGTCCTTCTTGTGTTTTCTCTTGAACTCCTCCACGAAGTGGTTCACCAGCCTGTTGTCAAAGTCCTCCCCACCCAGGTGGGTGTCCCCGGCCGTGGCCTTCACCTCGAAGATGCCGTCGTCGATCGTCAGGATGGACACGTCGAAGGTGCCCCCGCCCAGGTCAAAGATGAGCACGTTGCGCTCCCCCTTGCCCGTTCTGTCCAGGCCGTAGGCGATGGCGGCGGCCGTGGGCTCGTTGATGATCCGCAGCACGTTGAGCCCCGCGATCACACCCGCATCCTTGGTGGCCTGGCGCTGCGAGTCGTTGAAGTAGGCCGGCACGGTGATCACCGCGTTGGTCACCGGGTAGCCCAGGTACGCCTCGGCGATCTCCTTCATCTTGGTCAGCACCATGGACGAGATCTCCTCGGGGTAGAATGCCTTGGTGTCCCCCTTGTAGCTCACCTGCACCTTGGGCTTGTCTCCGTCGTTGATCACCTGGAAAGGCCAGTGCTTCATGTCCGACTGCACCACCGGGTCGCCGAACTTGCGGCCGATCAGCCGCTTCGCGTCAAACACGGTGTTCTGCGGGTTCAGCGCCACCTGGTTCTTGGCCGCATCCCCGATGAGCCGCTCGGTGTCCGTGAAGGCCACGTAGCTGGGGGTGGTGCGGTTGCCCTGGTCGTTGGCGATGATCTCCACCTTGCCGTGTTGGAACACCCCCACGCAGGAGTAGGTGGTGCCCAGGTCGATGCCGATCGCCGCGGCTTTGGCCATGCCGGTTCCCTGCTCTCTGTCGGCTCGGCTCTGAGATTGGGGGCTGGAAACGGAACACTGGATCCGCGAGAAGAGCTCGGTCCTTCCGGACGCCGGAAACTCGACGCGCCGGTGCCTGCAGCCGCACAGGTTCGCTCTGGGAAGCCTTGGGACAACGGGAGTCACTCTCGAAAAAGGTAGTGGACTGTCGCAGCAGCTCCTCAGGCTAGCCGTTATCCGGACCGCTTGCCCCTGGGCTTTTATAAGTCGTCACGGAGACCCGCCTTTTCCCTTCTGAGCCAATCACCGAGCTCGATGAGGCTGCCAGGTCGGGAATATTCCAGGGGTTTCGCCTCCCGTCCTGCCCCCCAGCCTTCCTTGGACCAATCAGAGGCCAGAGTGCCGCCCCCTGCTCAGAACTCTCCAGAGTCTTCTGGGATTCACTGGAGGGGACAGGGACCCTGAGAGGAAGGGGGAGTGGCGGTGGGAAGGGTGTTGGTCTCCATGGCGATGCTGACCGCCTGCGCTTCAGCGCCTAATTGACAGGAAGGGTCGGCGCTGGGCTTTTAATTGTGGGGGCTTGCTGGGCCTGCGCAGTTGTGGGCAGGGGGCTGGTGCGGGGAGCGGGTTACGCGCGTCCAGGGGAGGGTGGGGGCGTTTGTGTTGACACCGCCCGGCCACGTTACAATGGAGATACTGTCTCTGACCTCATGGGCCAGTTTGGAAAAAGATTACTGAGTTGGAGCCGTCTCAAATTTGCAGGGAGGGACGGGGTGGGGGGTGGGGGGACCCCGGTTGTGCAGTTTGATATTGAGGGAGCCCCCACCTACTCGCTGGGGCTGCGTAATCTGGACGTTTCCAAACTGAAGCGAAGGCGTCGGGAGACTAGGTGAGCCAGTAGGGATCTGATTGATTGTGAACCTGAAAGGCTCAGTAGGTCCTTGTTTGGGAAAGTACTGGAAAGTTCCCTAGTTGGTTTAAGCCTGAGGTATGTGGGCGTTGGCTGATCCGGGTAGGAGGAGCACTTGGGGAAAGCTAAGATGGCTTCAGATTGATTGGTCGGAGCAGCCAGAATGGGGGAGGCGGGGGAAGGGAGTGCGGCCTGTCGGGGAAATGGGGAGGCGGGGAAGGCGGGGTAAGGGGGAGGCGGGGTAACTGGGAAGCGGGGGAAAGGGAGTGCGGCCTAGGAATCTGCGGTGTGGAGAGGGATAGACACTAAACCCTTTATTTTATTTTTATTTATTTATTTTTAATTTTTTTTTTTTTTTGAGACGGAGTCTCGCTCTGTCGCCCAGGGTGGAGTGCAGTGGCACGATCTTGGCTCACTGCAAGCTCTGCCTCCCGAGTTCAGGCCATTCTCCTGCCTCAGCCTTCCGAGTAGCAGGGACTGCAGGCGCCCGCCACCGCGCCCGGCTAATTGCTCCACCTCCCGGGTTCAAGCTATTCTCCTGCCTCAGCCATCCGAGTAGCTGGAACTACTGGCGCCCGCCACCACGCCCAGCTAATTTTTTCTATTTTTTAGTAGAGACGAGGTTTCACCGTGTTAGCCAGGATGGTAGCCAGGATGGTCTCGTTCTCCTGACCCCGTGATCCGCCCGCCTCGGCCTCTCAAAGTGCTGGGATTACAGGCGTGAGCCACCGCCCCCCGCCCTTAAACCCTTTATTGATCAGTTATTGGCTCCAGAAAACAGGAGTTTTATTTAGGAGAAGGATACAGATACTGTCTGGAGTGCCATGTCGTTTGAGAAAACTGGAAGGCTTGTGGTTTTCTAGCAGTCATCTTCAGCCTGACTGGAATTTACTGCCGGTGAACCCCTAATAGAGAATATTATCCCAGGAAGGCAGCAGAACTCAAGTGTGGAGGCTGATGTCTCTTGAAGAGACCAGAATGTACACTACTCTTGGGTCATAAAGAGACAGAATCCCACAGTAAAATATATAGGAACAGGACAGTAGAATTAGGTCACTTGGGAAATTGAAAACAATATACAGCTACTTGCTTCCCAACTTCTTTGAGTAGCTGAGAATACTTTTGTCTACCCTGTCCAAAAAGCAGTCTGCCATGACAGTAGCGTCTCCATGTATTTGTATAGGCTTGCTCATAGCAACATTATTCTGTAAATTCTGTAATCTGTATCCATCGAGAGATAGATAAGCAAAATGTATATAGGCCGGGTGCGGTGGTGGCTCATGCCTGCCATCCCAGAACTTAGGGAGACCGAGGCGGGCGGATCACTTAAGGTTAGGAGTTTGAGACCATCCTGGTCAACATGGTGAAACTCTGTTTTTACTAAAAATACAAAAATTATCTGGGCGTGGCAGTGCACGCCTGTAGTCCCAGCTCCTCGGGAGGCTGAGGCTGGAGAATTAGCTTGAACCCAGGAGGTGGAGGTTGCAGTGAGCCAAGATCATGCCACTGCACTCCAGCCTGGGTAACAGAGTGAGACTCTGTCTCAAAACAAAATCAAAAACAGTGGTATATAAATATGAATATTACTCAGCCTTAGGAAGGAAATTGTGACATGTTACAACATGGATGAAACCTGTGCACATAAGCTAAGTGACATAAGCAAAGTCACAAAAGGATAAATACTGTATAATTCCACTTATATGAAGTTACAAGAGTAGTCAAATTCATAGAGATAGAAAAAAGAGGTCGGGCGCCTTGGCTCAAGCCTATAATCCTAACACTTGGTGACTTGGAGGTGGGAGGAGGTTTCCTTGAGCTCAGGAGTGAGAAACTAGCTTGGGCAACAGGGAGACCTGGTCTCTACAAAAAAATAAAAAATTAGCTGGGTGTGGTGGCATTCACCTGTGGTCCAAGCTACTTGGGAGGCTGAGACAAAAGGATCCTATGAGCCTGGGAGGTCAAGACTGCAGTGAGCCATGATTACACCACTGCAGTGCAGCCTGCGTGACAAAACGAGACCCTGTCTCTAAAAAATGAGAAAAAAAAATGTTTGTTACCAGGCGATAAAGGGAGGGGAAAACGGGAGTTACTTAATGAGTATACAGTTTCAGTTTTGCGAGATGAACAGAATTCTGGAAATTGGTTGAACACCGCTGTGATTGAACTCACTACCAAACTCTACACTTAAAAATGGTTAAGATGGTACAATTTGTATGTATTTTACCACAATAAAAAATAAAAAATAGGCTGGGCGAGATGTTCACTCCTGTAATCCCAGTACTTGGGGAGGCTGGGGCTGAAGGATCGTTTGAGCCCTGAAGGAGTTTGAGACCAGCCTGAGCAACATAAGGAGACCCCATCTGTACACAAAATTAAAACATTAGCCAGGCAGAGAGCTGGTCACGGTGGCTCACGTATGTAATCCCAGCACTTTGGGAGGCCGAGGCGGGCGGATCACCTGAGGTCAGGAGTTTGAGACCAGCCTGGCCAACATAGTGAAACCGTGAAACCCCATCTCTACTAAAAATACAAAAATTAGCTGGGCGTGGTGGTGCCCTCATAATCCCAGCCACTCGGGAGGCTGAGACAGGAGAATCGCTTGAACTCAGGAGGTGGAGGTTGCAGTGAGCCTAGATCACACCACTGCAGTCCAAAGCAAGACTCCGTCTCAAAAAAAAAAAAAATTAGCCGGGCATGTTGTCTCCAGTTATTCTGGAGGCTAAGGCAGGAAGATTGCTGGAGCCTAGGAGATCAAAGCTGCAGTGAGCTATGACTGCGCCTCTGCACTCCAACCTGGGTGACAGAGGAAGACCCTGTCTCAAAAAAATAAATAACATTGAAAAGCACTCTCCCAAAACAGTATCTTATTCTTTCTCCATAGGCCTCAGAGAACCATGGCTACTGCCAAGGGAATCGCCATAGGCATCGACCTGGGCACCACCTACTCCTGTGTGGGGGTGTTCCAGCACGGCAAGGTGGAGATCATCGCCAACGACCAGGGCAACCGCACCACCCCCAGCTACGTGGCCTTCACAGACACCGAGCGGCTCATTGGGGATGCGGCCAAGAACCAGGTAGCAATGAATCCCCAGAACACTGTTTTTGATGCTAAACGTCTGATCGGCAGGAAATTTAATGATCCTGTTGTACAAGCAGATATGAAACTTTGGCCTTTTCAAGTGATTAATGAAGGAGGCAAGCCCAAAGTCCTTGTGTCCTACAAAGGGGAGAATAAAGCTTTCTACCCTGAGGAAATCTCTTCGATGGTATTGACTAAGTTGAAGGAGACTGCTGAGGCCTTTTTGGGCCACCCTGTCACCAATGCAGTGATTACCGTGCCAGCCTATTTCAATGACTCTCAACGTCAGGCTACTAAGGATGCAGGTGTGATTGCTGGACTTAATGTGCTAAGAATCATCAATGAGCCCACGGCTGCTGCCATTGCCTATGGTTTAGATAAAGGAGGTCAAGGAGAACGACATGTCCTGATTTTTGATCTGGGTGGAGGCACATTTGATGTGTCAATTCTGACCATAGATGATGGGATTTTTGAGGTAAAGGCCACTGCTGGGGACACTCACCTGGGTGGGGAGGACTTTGACAACAGGCTTGTGAGCCACTTCGTGGAGGAGTTCAAGAGGAAACACAAAAAGGACATCAGCCAGAACAAGCGAGCCGTGAGGCGGCTGCGCACCGCCTGCGAGAGGGCCAAGAGGACCCTGTCGTCCAGCACCCAGGCCAACCTAGAAATTGATTCACTTTATGAAGGCATTGACTTCTATACATCCATCACCAGAGCTCGATTTGAAGAGTTGTGTGCAGACCTGTTTAGGGGTACCCTGGAGCCTGTAGAAAAAGCGCTTCGGGATGCCAAGATGGATAAGGCTAAAATCCATGACATTGTTTTAGTAGGGGGCTCCACCCGCATCCCCAAGGTGCAGCGGCTGCTTCAGGACTACTTCAATGGACGTGATCTCAACAAGAGCATCAACCCTGATGAGGCCGTAGCATATGGGGCTGCGGTACAAGCAGCCATCCTGATGGGGGACAAGTCTGAGAAGGTACAGGACCTGCTGCTGCTGGACGTGGCTCCCCTGTCCCTGGGGCTGGAGACGGCTGGGGGCGTGATGACTGCCCTGATAAAGCGCAACTCCACCATCCCCACCAAGCAGACACAGATTTTCACCACCTACTCTGACAACCAACCCGGGGTGCTGATCCAGGTGTATGAGGGCGAGAGGGCCATGACAAAGGACAACAACCTGCTGGGGCGGTTTGACCTGACTGGAATCCCTCCAGCACCCAGGGGAGTTCCTCAGATCGAGGTGACGTTTGACATTGATGCCAATGGTATTCTCAATGTCACAGCCATGGACAAGAGCACCGGCAAGGTGAACAAGATCACCATCACCAATGACAAGGGCCGCCTGAGCAAGGAGGAGATTGAGCGCATGGTTCTGGATGCTGAGAAATATAAAGCTGAAGATGAGGTCCAGAGGGAGAAAATTGCTGCAAAGAATGCCTTAGAATCCTATGCTTTTAACATGAAGAGTGTTGTGAGTGATGAAGGTTTGAAGGGCAAGATTAGTGAGTCTGATAAAAATAAAATATTGGATAAATGCAACGAGCTCCTTTCGTGGCTGGAGGTCAATCAACTGGCAGAGAAAGATGAGTTTGATCATAAGAGAAAGGAATTGGAGCAGATGTGTAACCCTATCATCACAAAACTCTACCAAGGAGGATGCACTGGGCCTGCCTGCGGAACAGGGTATGTGCCTGGAAGGCCTGCCACAGGCCCCACAATTGAAGAAGTAGATTAATTCTTTTTAGAACTGAAGCATCCTAGGATGCCTCTACATGTATTTCATTCCCCTCATCTTCAAACATCATTATTATTCTTGACCAGACCTGAATCTAAGTTACCATCCCTTGGAAATTCTGGAGAAGGAGTCTCATGCACCACCTATCACACTCCCTCACATCCTGTTTCTGACTTTGGAATGGACTCAGGAAAACTAGGCCCCTCTTTAAACCGTGTGATGTATTTGAATGTCTGTTATTTCCAGCCACCCTAACATTCTTCTTCCTGTGTGGATGCTTATTTGTCAATCAGTAAATTTGTTCGTAAAGAAAATTACTTCTGGTATTTAGGCTGTGAATGTACCTTGAAGGGGAGAGTTCATGGAGAGAGCATGTGTTCTCTGATTGTGAGGTCACTGTGAATGATTAAATTGGTAAGGGTAAAGTATTTGAATTTTCATGAACTCATTTTGTGTGTGTGTGTGTGTGTGTGTGTGTGTGTGTGTGTGTGTGTGTGTGTTTTGAGAGACAGTCTCGCCCTGTCACCCAGGCTGGAGTGCAGTGGCACAATCTCAGCTTACTGCAAGCTCTGCCTCCTGGGTTCACGCCATTCTCCTGCCTCAGCCTCCCGAGTAGCTGGGACTGCAGGTGCCCCCCACCATGCCCGGCTAATTTTTTGTATTGTTTTAGTAGAGACGGGGTTTCACTGTGTTAGCCAGGATGGTCTCGATCTCCTGACCTCGTGATCCGCCCGCCTCGGCCTCCCAAAGTGCTGGAATTACAGGCGTGAGCCACCGTGCCCGGCCCATGAACTCATTGTTTCAATCAGCCACATAATTTTTGATCCTCAGACACCTTTAGCACAGATGGAACAGATGGCAAACTATAACTGCTTTTAATCAGTTACAAGCTGGTTTTGGAGTTTAGGACTCAACTGGGGGTGGAGGGACAAATCCTGCTTGATGTCCTGATGTCACTTATAGGTAAGGTCCAGGAGATTCAGCATCTATGCACTCACAGAGTTCATTGTTTACATCCATTACATGGAGAAAATATTTCTTTTCTTTTTTTTTTTTTTTGGAAACAGTTTCGCTCTTGTCGCCCAAGCTGGAGTGCAATGGCACGATCTCGGCTCACTGCAAACTTTGCCTCCCAGATTCAAGCGATTCTCCTGCCTCAGCCTCATGAGTAGCTGGGATTACAGGCGCTCACCACCATGCCCGGCTAATGTTTGTGTTTTTAGTAGAGACGGGATTTCACCATGTTGACCAGGCTGTTCTGAACTCCTGACCTCAGGTGATCCACCCACCTCAGCCTCCCAAAGTGCTGGAATTATAGGCGTGAGCCACCGTGCCCAGCCCCAGAAAATATTTCTATAACAAACTCTTGACAAATAAGTATGTCTATGCAAGATGACAAATACAAGTTTTATGAAGTCTCAGTCCATGAAAAAATATTTTTACCAGCTGGGCACAGTGGCTCACGCCTGTAATCCCAGCACTTTGGGAGGCCGAGGCGGGCGGATCATGAGGTCAAGAGATTGAGACCATCCTGCCCAACATGGTGAAACCCCGTCTCTACTAAAAATACAAAAATTAGCTGAGGACGGTGATGCGTGCCTGTAGTCCCAGCTACTCAGGAGGGTGAGGCAGAGGAATCGCTTGAACCCGGGACGTGGAGGTTGCAGTGAGCTGAGATCGTGGCACCACACTCCAGCCTGGTGATAGAGCGAGACTCCATCTCAAAAACATTTTTTTCTTTTACCTGTGTCCTAATACATATTTATAAAAACCTGGGGGATATGAGTTAGAATAATATGTAACTGCATTTCTGTCTGTTTGTGTTTGAAACATTTAACAGTGAAATGTTAGACTGGGTTATTTGTATCTGTGAGCCACAGTCTCTTTAGTTTTACACAGTCCTTTACAGGACAGTCTTGGCAAAAGTGTGTAAGAAATGCGGAGATTGAGGTTGGCTCCTTTGGAGAAATGTATTTATTGGTAACCTTTGATAAAATCAAAATTTGTGCTCCAGCTCCTCCTTATCTCTGGGACTGCTCAACGTTTGTTTGTTTATAATTTTCTTTTTTCTAGAGAGAGTCTCGCTCTGTCACCCAGGCTGGAATGCAGTGGGGAGATTGTAGCTCACTGTAACTCTTGGGTTCAAATGATCCTCCTGCCTCAGCCTCCCCAAATGCTGGGATTTACAGGCCTCAACATTTTTTGTTTTTTGGGATGGAGTTTTGCTCTTGTTGCCCAGGCTGGAGTGCAATGGCAAGATCTCCACTCACTGCAACCTATGCCTCCTGGATTTACAGGCGCGTGCCACCACACCCGGCTAATTTTTGGGTTTTTAGTAGAGACAGAATTTCGCCATGTTGACCAGGCTGGTCTCGAACTCCTGACCTCAGGCGATCCACTTGCCTTGGCCGCCCAAAGTGCTGGGATTACAGGTGTGAGCCACTGCTCCCGGTCATTTTTTTTTTTTTTTTTTTTGAGACGGAGTCTTGCTCTGTCGCCCAGGCTGCAGTGCAGTGGCGCGATCTCGGTTCACTGCAACCTCCGCCTCCCAGGTTCAAGCGATTCTCTTCCCTCAGCCTCCCGAGTAGCTGGTATTACAGGAGCCTGCGACCACGCCTAATTTTTTTTGTATTTTTAGTGAAGATGGGGTTTCACCATGTTGGCTAGACTGGTCTCGAACTCCTGACCTCACACAATCCACCCACCTAGGCCTCCCAGAGTGCTGGGATTAAAGGCTTGAGCCACGGCCCTCGGCCTTTTTTTCTTTTTATCAGCTGAATTTAAGATTCAAAACATTTTTTAATTTTATTTTTTAAATTTTATGTTTTTACTTTAACAAATATAGAAAAGTGCACACTTCATAATCTTAACAAACTCCCCACAATTCTCGATAGGAAGTGTGTGTAGGGCACAAACACATCACGCTGTAGATGGCAGGATTCTGGAAAAGAACAAAATCCTTTGAGCTCAGGCGCTGAGTCCCGCCACCCGTCTGGCAGCCCAGGCTAGGGTCCGCGCCTGCGCAATGGGAGCCGGCCGGCCAGGGAGGAAGTCGGAATGAAGGAAACCCCGCCCCTTTCCCGGCTTCCTCCTCCCCTCTACTCTACCCAGCTTGCGCTCCCCAGCCGCAAGTCGGCCGCGCTTTGCCCGTCAGCGCTTGGAGCTTTCTGCGTCGCTTCCCGCTGCGCCTGCGCGGTCCCGCCTCGCCCCACGCGCGGGCTCGCGCTTCGGTTTCCCCAGACCTGCTCGCAGCACCCTGCTGTCTTCCCGGTCCGGCCCGCTGCCCGCGGCGCCAGCACCATGGTGGGTACCGTGACGTCAAAAGGGGGCGCCCTCGGGGACCTCGCATGGTTGGGGCGGGGGATCTGGCCTTTGTACCCCTAGGCTGGAGTTAGGTCCGGAGTTTTTATCTTCATCTTTAGTACTGTACTGTTTCTCAGGTTCATTGAGGAGGCACTGAGAACAAATGGGATATTTTTTCCATGATGAGGGAAAAAACCCCAACCCTGAGAGAGATTCAGTGAGGATAGCGGGAGACGGAAAAGTTAGACCTCAGAGCACTTCTCTGCCAGGCAAGCTTCGGCAGGGTGCGGGTGGGATATTTTCTACAATTCATTGAAAGGAGTGGGCAGGTACCCGAGAAAGGTGGTCGACTGAGAGAGCACAGTGGGGAGGCCGACGTATGCAGGGCAGAGTCTCTCTGGGACTTTAAGTGATGGGCTCAGTGCAGTGTGCAGAATAATTTGGGCTCCAGCCTTTCAGCTCTGTCAACCAATTATTCTTTCCTGTGAAATTTTGAGAACTGTCAGGGATGCAGTGGGGTTCACAATACCAGTATTTGGTAATACTGTCAAAGGACACTCCTCCCTACCATGCTCCTTCCCACATGATGGTTTTCCCCCTCTCTCCCAATAGCTCTTCTATTCTTTTTTCAAGTCCCTTGTGGGCAAGGATGTGGTCGTGGAACTAAAGAATGACCTGAGGTAGGTACCTGTTCCAACAAGTCTGTTGGGGGTGGGTGTGCCCAGGGCCCTGGAACCTCTTTAATTTGAGAAATATTTCAGGGCTAGGCGAGGTGGAAGATGTACAGAAGAAATAAATGGATAGGGTGCAGTGGCTCAAGCCTGTAATCCCAGCACTTTGGGAGGCTGAGGAAGGAGGAAAGCTTGAGCCCAGGAGTTTGAGGCTGCAGTGAGCAGTGATTACTCCATTGCACTCTAGCCCAGGCAATAGAGCAAGACCCCATCTCTAAGAAAAATTTTAAAATTTAGCAATAAATAAATGCCTTGTGCCTTAAATTTACAGATAAGCTTAGAGATTGTATCGTGTATTGGAAAACAATACAAAGCAATATATAGTTTAAAGAGTAAATACAGGTCAGGCGCAGTGGCTCACGGGCTGGACGTGTGGCTCATGCCTGTAATCCCAGCACTTTGGGAGGCCAAGGTGGGCGAATCACGAGGTCAGGAGTTCAAGACCAGCCCGGTCAAGATGGTGAAACCCTGTCTCTACTAAAAATACAAAAATTAGCCGGGCACGGTGGCTGGTGCCTGTAATCCCAGCTACTCGGGAGGGTGAGGCAGGAGAATCGCTTGAACCTGGGCGGCAGAGGTTGCAGTGAGCTGAGATCACACTGCTGCACTCCAGCTGGGTGACAGAGTGAGATTCTGTCTCAAAAAAAAAAAAAAAGTAAGTACTAGGCTGGCCATGGTGGCTCACACCTGTAATCTCAGCACTTTGGGAGGCTGAGGCAGGAGGATCACTTGAGTCCAGGATGTCGAGACTAGTCTGGGCAACATAGTGATGAGACCTCTATTTCTATAAAAAATTAGCCAGGTGTAGTGTACATGCCTGTAGTCTCAGCTATTCGGGAGGCTGAGGTGGGAGGATCACTTGAACCCAGGAGGTCAAGGCTGCAGTGAGCCATGATTGTATCACTTTACTCCAGCCTGGTTGACAGAGGAAGACTCTGTCTCAAAAAAAGAACAGGCCAGGCCGGGCGCGGTGGCTCACGCCTGTAATCCCAGCACTTTGGGAGGCCGAGGCAGGCGGATCACAAGGTCAGGAGATTGAGATCATCCTGTTTAACATGGTGAAACCCTGTCTCTGCTAAAAATACAAAAAATTAGCCAGGCGTGGTGGCATGCTCCTGTAGTTCCAGCTACTTGGGAGTCTGAGGCAGGAGAATGGCGTGAACCTGGGAGGCGGAACTTGCAGTGAGCCAAGATGGTGCCACCGCACTCCAGCCTGGGTGACAGAGCAAGACTCCGTCTCAAAAAAAAAAAAGAAAAAAAAGAACAGGCCATAGGCTGGGCACGATGGCTCATGCCTGTAATCCCAGCACTTTGGGAGGCTGAGGCGGGTGGATCACGAGGTCAAGAGAGCGAGAACAGCCTGGCCAACATGGTGAAACCATGTAGTGTATCTAATACCTAGCATAGGCCAGTTATATGATAGGTGCTTAAAGAAAGAAAAATAATATCCGAAGACGTATTGACTAACCACTATTCTGAATACATTTATTGATTGATTTCTCAAACACTGCTAAGTAATATATACTATTGCTGTTTTACACGAGGAAACTGAGGCTTAGATCAGCTATACCACTTGTTCAAGTCTACAAAACTAGTAAGTGACACAACTGAAATATGATTCTGTCCAGCTTTTTTTCTTTCTTTTTTTTTTTTTTTGAGATGGAGTTTCAGTCTGTCACCTAGGCTGGACTGCAATGGCGTAATCTCGGCTCACTGCAGCCTCTGCCTCCTGGGTTCAAGCAATTCTCTGCCTCAGCCTCCCTAGTAGCTGTGATTACAAGTGCCCACCACCATGCCCGGCTAAATTTTGTATTTTTAGTAGAGATGGAGTTTCACCATCTAGGCCAGGCTGGTCTTGAACTCTCGACCTTGTGATCCACCTGCCTCAGCCTCTCAAAGTGTTGGGATTACAGGCGTGAGCCACTGCGCCTAGTCCTACTTTCTTTCTTAAAATAATATTTATTTATTTAAAAATTAGAGACAGTGCCTCACTTTGTTGCTCAGGCTGGTTTCAAATTCTTTGAGTTCAAGCAGTCCTCTTGCTTCAGCTTCCCAAAGTGCTGGGGTTACGCGCATGAGCCAGCACACCTGGCCCTGTACTTATCTGTACAGTCCTTTAAATAATATGTACATTTAGGCCAGATGCGGTGGCTCATACCTGTAATCCCAGCACTTTGGGAAGTCGAGGCGGGTGGATGCCTGAGGTCACGAGTTTGAGACTAGCTTGGCCAACATGGTGAAACTCCATCTCTACTAAAAATACAAAAATTAGCCAGATGTTGTGTTGTGCGCCTGTAATCCTAGCTGCTCAGGAGCCTGAGGCTGGAGAATCACATGAACCCGGGAGGCGGACGTTGTAGTGAGCTGAGATCAGGCCACTGCACTCCAGCCTGGGCGACAGACTGAGACTCCATCTCAAAAAAAAAAAAAAAGTACATTTAAAATATTGATACCTGTTACCTCATTATCCTTTAGAAAGATGGGATCAATTGTATTCTCTTCCCAAAAGCGTCTTCCACATTTATTTTTTTGAGATGGGGGTCTCACTCTGTTGTCCAGGCTGTAGTGCAGTGGCACCACCATAGCTCACTCAGCCTCCTGAATAGCTGGGGCTATATGCCACCATGCCCAGCTAATTTTTTAATTATTTGGAGAGGCAGAGTCTCACTGTGTTGCCGAGGCTAGTCTGAAACTCTTGGGCTCAAGCAGTCCTGCCACCTTGGCCTCCCAAAGTGCTGGAATTACAGGTGTGTGCCACTGTGTCTGGCTGTCTTCCACATTTCTATGTGAGATAATTTTTTCATGGGTTACACGTTGACAGGGCAGGGAATGGTGAGGAGAGGGACTTAAGGGCCTTTGCGTTTTAGAACACAGGTTTCCATTTGTAGCACTGGCAATGCAAGTGATATTGATGTGTATAGATTGGGGCCACAGAGCAAGACAAGTACGGTAATCACTATCAGTCTTAGGCAATTTGGTGTGATGACTTGTTTTTGATTCTCCTCTTTTCTCCTTCCTGGGCCTTTTACATGGGAAGCCTAACTGTTGTGTTATAACCCTAGGCCCTAAAGTACCTTTATTTTTTTTATTTTATTTTGTTTTTGAGACAGAGTCTTGCCCTGTCGCCCAGGCTGGAGTGCAATGGCGTGATCTCGGCTCACCGCAACCTCTGCCTCCCGGGTTCAAGTGATTCTCCTGCCTCAGCCTCCCTGGTAGCTGGGATTACAGGCATGCGCCACAACGCCTGGCTCATTTTTTGTATCTTCAGTAGAGACAGGGTTTCACCATGTTGGCCAGGCTGGTCTCCCAACTCCTGACCTCGTGATCTGCCCACCCCAGCCTCCCAAAGTACTGGGATTACAAGTGTGAGCCACTGCACCCGGCCGTAGTAACATTTCTTTTCTTTTTCTTTTTTCTTTTTTTTATTGAGACGAGTCTCGCTCTGGTCGAGTCTACGCCAGGCTGGAGTGCAGTGGTGCTGTAACCTCCGACTCCCTGGTTCAAGTGATTATCCTGCCTCAGCCTCCCGAGTAGCTGGGATTATATGCATGCACCACCACGCCCAGCTAATTTTTGTATTTTTAGTAGAGAAGGGGTTTCACCACGTTGGCCAGGATGGTCTCAATCTCCTGACCTTGTGATCTGCCCACCTCGGCCTCCCAAAGTACTGTGATTACAGGTGTGAGCCACTGCGCCCAGCCTTCTTTTTTTTCTATTTATTTATTTATTTTTGTTTGAGATGGGGTCTCACTCTGTCACCCAGGTTGGAGTGCAGTGGCATGATCTCGGGTCACTGCAACCTCTGCTGCCTGGGTTCAAGTGATTCTCCTGCCTCAGTCTCCCAAGTAGCTGGGATTACAAGTGCCTGCCACCATACCTGGCTAATTTTTGTATTTTTAGTAGACATCGGGTTTCACCATCTTCGTCAGGCTGGTCTTGAACTCCTGACCTCGTGATCCACCTGCCTCGGCCTCCCAAAGTGCTGGGATTACAGACGTGAGCCACTGCACCCGGCCTTTTTATATTATTTTTAAAATTTTTCATAGAGACAGAGTCTCGGCCGTGTTGCCCAGGCTGGTCTTGAACTCCTGGACTCAAGTGATCCTCCCACCTCAGCCTCTCAAAGTGCAGTGACTACAGGTGTGAGCCAATATGTGTGTGGCTTTAAAGTGACTTTTCTGTTGGGATGAGAAAGAAGATCTTTCTCCTTTTTTTTCCTTGAGACAGGGTCTCACTCTGTTGCCCTGGCTGGAGTGCGGTGGCGCGATCTTGGCTCACTGCAACCTCTGCCTCCTGGGTTCAAGTGATTCTTCCACCTCAGCCTCCCGAATAGCTGGGATTACCGGTGCATGCCACCACTCCCAGCTAATTTTTTGTATTTTTAGTAGGGATGGGGTTTCACCATGTTGGCCAGGCTGGCCTCAAACTCCTGACCTCAAGTGATCCTCCTGCCTCAGCCTCCCAAAGTGCTGGGATCACAGGTGTGAGCCACCACGCCTGGCCAAAAGTTCTTTCTCTTATGTTTGTTGTCAGACCACTTTTGTGCTATGTATCTCCCCCTCCTTAAGGGACTTAATAAAATGACACCACTTTGTACAATTCCCAAATGTTATTTCACTGCTGGAGATGGTGGGGTGCTGTCAAATGTTTTTCAGCAGCTAGCAATATGGTGAGAACATTACTGAGGCAGTGGGTTTCAGATACTGGGTGTTTGTTTTTGTTTTTGTTATTAGGCAGAGACTCACCCTCTGTCTCAAAAAAAATAATGATTGCCTAGTACTAGTTCATTTAAATTAATTTCCTAGAGCATATTTAAGTGGGTCTTTTTTTTTTTTTTTTTTTTTTTGAGACAGATCCTTACTCTGTCACCGAGGCTGGAATGCAGTGGCATGATCTTGGCTCACTGCAACCTCTACCTCCTGTGTTCAAATGATTCTCGTGCCTCAGCCTCCTGTATACCTGGGACTACAGGCATGCACCACACACAGCTAATCTTTGTATTTTTATATTTTATTTTTAAATTTTTTTTTTCCTCCTGGGTTCAAGTGATTCTCGTGCCTCACCTCCTGAGTAGCTGGGATTACAGGTGCACACCACAATGCCCAGCTAATTTTTGTATTTTTTTTTTTTTGAGACGGAGTCTTGCTTTGTCACCCAGGCTGGAGTGTAGTGGTGTGATCTCCGCTCACTGCAAGCTCTGCCTCCCAGTTCACGCCATTTTTCTACCTCAGCCTCCCAAGTAGCTGGGACTACAGGTGCCCGCCACCATGCCCGGCTAATTTTTTGTATTTTTAGTAGAGACGGGGTTTCACCGTGTTAGCCAGGATGGTCTCGATCTCCTGACCTCGTGATCCACCCGCCTCGGCCTCCCAAAGTGCTGAGATTATAGGCGTGAGCCACCACGCCCGGCCAATTTTTGTATTTTTAGTAGAGATGGGGATTCGCCGTGTTGGCCAGGCTGGTCTTGAAGTCCTGGCCTCAAGTGATCCGCCCACCTTGGCCTCCTAAAGTTCTGGGATTATAGGCATGAGCCACCGCACATGGCCTAGACGCTGGGTTTTAAAGACTTTCAGAATTTTACAAAAATTGGGGCAGAGAACTGCCAACTTTATTTTTGGCAAGATAAGGACGTTTTTAAAACTGCTATTTATTACGATTATTTTTATTTATTTATTTTTCTTGAGATGGAGTCTCACTCTGTCACCCAGGCTGGAGTGCAGTGGCTCGATCTCGCCTCACTACAACCTCCACCTCCCGGGTTCAAGTGATTCTCCTGCTTCAGCCTCCCGAGTAGCTGGGATTACAGGCGTCTGCCACTATGCCCAGCTAATTTTTTGTATTTTTAGTAGAGATGGGGTTTCACGATGTTGGCCAGGCTGGTGTCGAACTCCTGACCTCGTGATTCGCCCGCCTCGTCCTCCCTAAGTGCTGGAATTATAGGCGTGAGCCACCGTGCCCGGCCACAGTTATTTTATTTTATAACTTTAAAATAGAGATGAGGTCTTGCTATGTTGTCTGGGCTGTTCTCCAGCTGGCTTCAGGCGATCCTCCTGCCTCAGCCTCCCAGAATGCTTGGATTATAGGCGTGAACAACCATTCCCAGCCAAAGGCTGTTTTTTTAAATTTTTGCACCATTCTCTCAAAGAGCACTGGTGTTTTGATAGCATTCCTCAAATAGCATTTCAAGGGGCTCGAGGATTGGGGAATGGAGAGGACATCACTCATGCCTGCATCATCAAGAGTAATGCTACCTACCTTTATCCACATATGGGCTCTGGTTCCAAAGCAATAAATGTTTGAAAATAGCTAGCCTGGGTGACATTCACAGTGAGACCCTTTCTCTACAAAAAAAAAAAAAAAAAGTCGGGAATGGTGGCTCATGCCTGTAATCCCAGCACTTTGGGAGGCTGAGGTGGGCAGATCATGAGGTCAGGAGATCGAGACCATCCTGGCTAACACGGTGAAACCCCGTCTCTACTAAAAATACAAAAAATTAGCCAGGAGTGGTGGCCGGCATCTGTAGTCCCAGCTACTCGGGAGGCTGAGGCAGGAGAATGGCGTGAACCTGGGAGATGGAGCTTTCAGTGAGCCGAGATTGTGCCACTGCACTCCAGACTGGCCGACAGAGCGAGACTCCATCTCAAAAAAAAATCAGCTGGGCATGGTGGCTCAAGCCTGTAATCACAGCTACTCAAGTGGCCACAGTGAGCCATGATCACGCCATTTCACTCCAGCCTTGGCCATAGAGTGAGACCCTGTCGCAAAAATAAAAAAAAAATAGCTGATGGTTTTGGGAGTCACACAGACTTGGACTGAAGTTCCCATTTGTTCTAAACTCATAAAGTTTAAAACAACCTCTCTGAGCCCCTGGAAGGTAATAACTACTTTGAAAGATGGCTGTAAAGATTACAAATACTATATAGAATACAGGTCTAGCCTTTACCAGTTGTTTAATGGTAGCTGTTAAGAATAGGTTGGTTTGGCCGGGGACAGTGGTTCACACCTGTAATCCCAGCACTTTGGGGAGCTGAAGTGGGCAGATCGCCTGAGATCAGGAGTTAAGGAACAGCCTGGCCAACATGGTGAAACCCCATCTCTACTAAAAATAAAAAATTAGCCGGGCATGATGGCATGCGCCTGAAGTCCTAGCTACTCAGGAGACTGAGGCAGGAGAATCGCTTGAACCTGGGAGGCAGAGGTTGCAGTGAGCCAAGATCACACCACTGCACTTCAGCCTGGCTGACAGTGAGACTCCATCTCAAAAAAAAAAAAAAAAAAAAAAAGAATGGATTGGTTTAGGGAGAGGAGATGTGGGGTTGAAAATAAACTACTCTGTTAGTTGTCTTTCCTACTCCAGGGCTTAGGAATGCCCCCTTTTGGTTCTACCTTTTCTGACATCCTCAAGTCCTTGACTTCTCCCAGTCATGTTCTCATCCCAGCTCTGAAGTCACCTCTATGTTGACTTTGTTATAAACTAATTTGATTCTTCTCTCCCTCTGCCCTTGACAGCATCTGTGGAACCCTCCATTCTGTGGATCAGGTGAGATATAGCACGGGCCCCAGAATTGGTTCCTGGAGAAGGAGAGGGGAGACTTAAGGGTTGGGTTCTTACATCATGTCTCTAGGGTTAATAATGGTGTTCGTCGGCCAGGCACGGTGGCTCACGCCTGTAATCCCAGCACTTTGAGAGGCCGAGGCCTGAGGTCAGGAGTTCAAGACAAGCCTGACAAACATGGTGAAACCCCGTCTCTACTAAAAATACAAAAAATTAGCTGGGCGTGGTGGTGGGCACCTGTAATCCCAGCTAGTCGAGAGGCTGAGGCAGGAAAATCATTTGAACCCAGGAGGCGGAGATTGCAGTGAGCCGAGATGGCACCATTGCACTCCAGCCTGGGCAACAAGAGCAAAACTCTTGTCTCAAAAAAAAAAAATAATAATAATAATGGTGTTCATCTTCCTTTCCTAGTATCTCAACATCAAACTAACTGACATCAGTGTCACAGACCCTGAGAAATACCCTCACATGGTGAGTTGGGGTCTGTGGAGAAGAGGAAACACCTCTAAAGCAGGAGGCCCCTGGGTGGTTAGAGGACATTTTTAAGGGTGTTTTCATATTTGTCCATCTTTGTCTAGTTATCAGTGAAGAACTGCTTCATTCGGGGCTCAGTGGTCCGATACGTGCAGCTGCCAGCAGATGAGGTCGACACACAGTTGCTACAGGATGCGGCAAGGAAGGAAGCCCTGCAGCAGAAACAGTGATGGCTCCTCCTCCTCTTCCCCTCCCTCTTTCATTGGTGACCCATAACCCCAAGTCCCAGCCCAGAACCCCTAACCCCCAATACTTGAAGGGGTTTTGTTTTTTTACTAATGATGGTTTTGTGGGTTTTTTTTAAGGGATGAGTGGATGAGAGGAGTAATAGGGAACAGCTATCCTCTCTTGAGAAGGGGAGGATAAGTAGGCTGGGAAACTTCAAAGCCTTCCCAGTCCCCAGCACCTGCCTTTCTCACTACTTCTCTGGAGATGGTAGGAGAGTTTCCTAGGTCTTTCCAGGGCAGCATGTGATTCATTTGGGGATGGAAGGAATCTGTCCCGCATCGGGAATAAAATTTATGATGCAAATTTGTGTTTTGGTTCTGTTACTATGTGTTGGGCAGGGGGCTGGGACATGGAAAAGGATGTCGAATTCATCCAAGCCCCTGTTACTCTGCGTTAACCCAGCCAAGAATCCAACTCAGCTTCCCACTACTCTCCTTGGTATAAAGCATATAATACAGTTGCTCTACACCATGTTTCCCCAACATGTCCCTACCTGTATGTTCTCCCTGTGGCCTTTTGCTTATACCATACCTGCAACTGGAGTGCTTGCTGTCCTTCCATTAATGTGATAGTGTCGTAAGATACATTTCATGCTACCAGACTTCACCAATCCAACCAAATCAGTTCATGTTTTCTGAATATGTATAGAAGATAAATACAAGTGATGTAATTTATATTTTAGAGAAAAGTTGTGACTGGGAATTACTAAACTTCATTCACTCATTCAGCAAATATGAGTTCATGATACAGATGAGACTTCTCAGCCTTAAGGGACCCTTAGAGACCATCTAGTGTGACCCTCCTTTTTGTTTTTGAGACGGGAGTCTCACTCTGTTGCCCAGGGTGGAGTGCACTGGCTTGGTCTGGCTCACTGCAACCTCCGCCTCCCGGTTCAAGCGATTCTCCTGCCACAGCTCCTGAGTAGCTGGGATTACAGATGCCCACCACCATGCCCGGCTAATTTTTTTTTTTTTTTTTTTTTTTGAGATGGAGTCTCACTTTGTCACCCAGGCTGGACTGCAGTGGTGTGATCTTAGCTCTGCAATCTCCGCCTCCCAGGTTCAAGTGATCTTCTTGCCTCAGCTTCCCAAGTAGCTGGGCTTACAGGTGTGTGCCACCACGCCTGGCTAATTTTTGTATTTTTACAAATACTGCAGCTCTGTCGCCAGGCTGGAGTGCAGTGGCACGATCTCAGTTCACTGCAACCTCAACCTCCAGGGTTCAAGCAATTCCCTGCCTCAGGCTCCGGGGTAGCTGGGATTACAGGCGCCTGCCACCACACCTGGCTAATTTTTGTATTTTTAGTAGAGACGGGGTTTCACCATCTTGGCCTGGCTGGTCTTGAACTCCTGACCTGGTGATCCACCCGCCCTGGCCTCCCAGAGTGCTGGGATTACAGGCGTGAGACGGGCTTTCACCACCTTGGCCAGGCTAGTCTTGAACTTCTGACCTCAGGTGATCCGCCCACCTCGGCCTCCCAAAGTGCTGGGATTATAGGCGTGAGCCACTGCGCCCGGCCGTCACCCTTTTTTGATACATGAGGAGATGAGGCTCAAAGAGGAAGCTGGACGCCAGGGCCTCGGCAAATGGACCTCCCCTTCGGTCCTCATCAGGCGGCTCCCTGCTGGGCACCTCCCCGCTACCGGGTGGGGAACGCCCTCCACCGGCAGGGCCGGCCGACCCTCTTGGGCCAGTTCCCTAGCTGCCCGCTGGGCGCCGCCCTCGCCACCCGGCCGAGGACCCGCACAAGGTGCCCGTGGCGGCGCCTGACGGGAGCGTCGTGCTCAGGGGTGTCCTCTCGTCCTGCGTCCGCGCCCAGCGCCCCGCGCCCCGCGCTGTTCCTCGTGAGACCGGCGGGCGGCGAGCCGCGCGGCCCCCGGGGCAGTGTCGGACACGGCGGGCGCGCACTCGCAGGCGGGGCACGGCCGCCCCCGCCAGGACCCGCAGGCCCGGAAACGCTCCCTGTCACAAAGGGGGGAACACGTGGGCGCCGGCTGCCGGGGCGGCGATCTTAGGGAACTAGGGTCACCTGGAGAGCCGCCCACCGTCTCTGCCCGCTCGACTCCTCCGCCCGGGCCGCTCGGCCGGTCCAGCCGCGGCCGGCGCCTGGCTGTGAGGTGGATTCCCGGCCCAGTCTGACCATCTCCCTCCAGTACGTACACGCGGCTCGAACCCGCATCCAACCAGACGCCGACCCGCTCCTGAGAGCCTTCCACACTCCCCGAAGCCCCGCGATGGTGGATAGTTCCTCTTCCCCAGGAACTCCCCACTGACACTGCCCCTCTGAGAGCCAGGTCCTCGGCTCCTGACAGCCTGCCTGGTCAGACCCTCAGTCCTATGGGACTCGGGTGTCTGCGGCGAAGGAGCTCCCGTGAGGGTCCCCTCTCTACTCAAACATAGGACCCACCTCGATCCCGCAGTCTTCCCCTGTCTCTCTTTCTCCTTAGGTTTTTCCACTTCGTTCGGACCTTCTCATAACTATGTCCACCCTCTACGTCTCCCCTCACCCAGATGCCTTCCCCAGCCTCCGAGCCCTCATAGCCGCTCGCTATGGGGAGGCTGGGGAGGGTCCCGGATGGGGAGGAGCCCACCCCCGCATCTGTCTCCAGCCACCCCCGACTAGCAGGACTCCCTTTCCCCCACCCCGCCTGCCGGCCCTGGAGCAGGGGCCCGGTGGGCTCTGGGTGTGGGGGGCCACGGCTGTGGCCCAGCTGCTGTGGCCAGCAGGCCTGGGGGGCCCAGGGGGCAGCCGGGCGGCTGTCCTTGTCCAACAGTGGGTCAGTTACGCCGACACGGAGTTAATACCAGCTGCCTGTGGAGCAACGCTGCCGGCCCTGGGACTCCGAAGCTCGGCCCAGGACCCCCAGGTGAGGGGGTTGTACAGAAGAGGGGGAGGGGAGAAATTCAGAGGAGGGAAGCGAGGACTGGAATGGACAATGAGACAAGAAGGTAGTACATCAGATGTGGGAAAAGAGTGATCAAATCCCAGATTGCCAACTGGTATGGTAACCCTGGGCACGTTTCATAGACCCGCTGTGTCTTGGTCTTCCTATGTCTATGAACACGCAGGCAAGTTGATGTAATGCTTGCCTCACTGAGTTAATAGGATTAAAAGATGTGCGCAGAGCACATAGTTTAGTGCCAGGCACTTTTAAAGTCTCTTAGTAAAAGTTTGATGAGTCTGAAATTGATGAGGATAGAAGTTATTTGAATTGTAGGAAAAGACTGGGTGAGGGAGAGATGACAATTGCTGGGAGGAGATAAAAGAGAAATGAAATGAGGAAGGTAAGTGAGAGGAGAGATAACCCTGCCAGATTGTAACTATCAGTCCTTCCAAAGGAGACCTGTGCCTTGGTGTACTTTCAACTCTGCCTCCTTGCATGGTATTGAGCACATGATGGAAAATTAGTATTTCTTGAATGGATGAATGAATGTGGCAGACCCTGACTTGCTCCCTCATATTGTGATCACCCTATCTACAATAGAGTCCTTGCATTCAGAATGTCTGTCCAAACAAACAAATAAAATAGAGTCCCTCTCTTCTGGAATTCCCTGTTTGTTCCCCTCTTTTATTTCTTTTCTTTTCTTTTTTTTTTTTTTTTTTGAGACGGAATCTCCTTCTGTTGCCCAGGCTGGAGTGCCACGGTGCGATGGTGCGATCTCAGCTCACTGCTCAAGCGATTCTCCTGCCTCAGCCTTCTGAGTAGCTGGGATTACAGGCGCCCACCACCTTGTCCGGCTAATTTTTTGTATTTTTAGTAGAGATGGGGTTTTGTCATGTTGACCAGGCTGGTCTCGAACTCCTAACCTCAGATGGTCTGCTCGCCTCGGCCTCCCAAAGTGCTGAGATTATAGGTGTGAGCCACCACGCCTGGCCCCTGTTCCCCTCATTCTGCTTTATTTTTCTTCATAGGAGTTAAGAAAAATAGGGCACTTCATTTTATATTTGCTCATTTGTTGTTCCCCTACAAGAATGTTAACTCTACCAGGTCAGGGTTCTGTCCATCTGTTCGTGTTTTCCTCTCATTCCCTGGAGAAGTACTTAATACATATTTATTGATGTTCTGAACCTGGCAGTTATTGAGATGCCTCATATAATCTTTACTTCTATGCTTAACATATTGCATCTAACACATAAGTATTGAGTAGGGATTTGTTGGATGAGTCAGAAGTGTTTTGTTTTTTTTTTTCTGAGACGGAGTCTCGCTGTGTTGCCCAGGCTGGAGTGCAGTGGCGTGATCTCGGCTCACTGCAAGCTCCACCTCCTGGGTTCATGCCATTCTCCTGCCTCAGCCTCCCGAGTAGCTGGGACTACAGGCGCCCGCCACCACGCCTGGCTATTTTTTTTTTGTATTTTTAGTAGAGATGAGGTTTCACCATGTTAGCCAGGATGGTCTCGATCTCCTGACCTCGTGATCCGCCCAGAAGTATTTTTATTGTGACTATTTGAGTGAAGAAATGGGACTCAGAGGTGGTGATTTGTGAGAGTGGGGTGGAGGGAGGCCACATGGATTGGGTTGTGGTGGGAGATGGAGGTGGGCCAAACCTTGTCTCACACTTCTTCCCCTTCCTGCCAGGCTGTGCTGGGGGCCCTGGGCAGGGCCCTGAGCCCCTTGGAGGAGTGGCTTCGGCTGCACACCTACTTGGCCGGGGAGGCCCCCACTCTGGCTGACCTGGCGGCTGTCACAGCCTTGCTGCTGCCTTTCCGATACGTGAGTCACCAGGCCTGGGGAAGAACAAGACTGCTCTCCTCAGACCTCACTGTAGGGTGACTGAGAAGAGTCATTTATTTCCTGTTCCAGGTCCTAGACCCACCTGCCCGCCGGATCTGGAATAATGTGACTCGCTGGTTTGTCACGTGTGTCCGGCAGCCAGAATTCCGAGCCGTGCTAGGAGAAGTGGTTCTATACTCAGGAGCCAGGCCTCTCTCTCATCAGCCAGGTGAGGAAGGGCGAGGAGTTGGAGGATAGGGGCTTCCCTGGGGCCTTCCATGCAACTCACTTTCTTTTTTTCCTAGAAATGGCAGAATCACTGGGGCAGGGTCCTGCGGGAGAGGAGGGAGAGGGGGGAGGTCAGCATGGGCAAGACCTCGGGCATCTAAAATACCCCATCTGAAACCTAGTATGGCCGTCCAAGAGGGTCCCCAGCTGGCTGAGTCTGAATTTCTGCACCTCTCTCTAGGCCCCGAGGCTCCTGCCCTCCCAAAGACAGCTGCTCAGCTCAAGAAAGAGGCAAAGAAACGGGAGAAGCTAGAGAAATTCCAACAGAAGCAGAAGATCCAACAGCAGCAGCCACCTCCAGGGGAGGTGAGGCGAGGGTGGAGCTGGAAGGAAAGTTGATGTGTGCGGTGATGGGTTGGCTGATGCCTGGGCCTATGTCTTCTCCCTCCCAAGCAGAAGAAACCAAAACCAGAGAAGAGGGAGAAACGGGATCCTGGGGTCATTACCTATGACCTCCCAACCCCACCCGGGGAAAAGAAAGGTACTAGGAGTGGGAAGGGGCTCACCCCTCAGCAGCCCCTTCTAAGTTTTCACCCTATCTTGCTCTATTCTTGCTCTCACCACTTTGTTTGGTGAGGAATTGCAGACCCCCTGCCCTGCCTCTAGGCCCCTCAAATGCCTGTCCTATGATGTGAGTGACGGAGATCCCGATCCCTCTCTGCCAGCACGTCTCCTTCCCAGAGTGCTCCCAGCCACGGCACTGAGCCCTCCCTTCCTCTCCCCCAGATGTCAGTGGCCCCATGCCCGACTCCTACAGCCCTCGGTATGTGGAGGCTGCCTGGTACCCTTGGTGGGAGCAGCAGGGCTTCTTCAAGCCAGAGTATGGGGTGAGTAGGCACTGCTGCCCAGGCCCAGAGTGGGTGGGGTGGGGAAGGGCAGGACTGAAGGATGTGTTGCCTGGGAGGGGCTGGGAGAGGTGACCTGAGGCCTTAAACATGTGCCATCCTTCTCCACCATCAGCGTCCTAATGTGTCAGCAGCAAATCCCCGAGGTGTCTTCATGATGTGCATCCCACCCCCCAATGTGACAGGCTCCCTGCACCTGGGCCATGCACTCACCAACGCCATCCAGGACTCCCTGACTCGATGGTGAGCTTCTATCTGCACCTTCCTCTGGTTCCCTCTGCCTAGTCTGGCTCTCTCCTTTTCCCTGACAGCCCCCCGAGCCTCTCTCCTTCTGGGTTGGTGCTCACTTCTGCCCCCAGTGGTGCTACACTTCTCTCTGTCATTCCAATCTGATCATTTAGCTTCCTCTCCTAGTCCAGTACTCCCATGCAACACCGCCACTTGCAGACTCTCTTCTATCCCTTCTTTCTTTATTTAATTTTAATTTAATTTAATTTAATTTTTTGTAAAGATGAGTTTTCACTTTGTTGCTCAGTCTGGTCTCCAACTCCTGGCTCAAGTGATTCTCCTGTCTCAGACTCCCAGAGTGCTGGGATTATAGGTGTGAGGCACCACACCCAGTCTCTCCCTTCTTTTTCTAGTAACAATAACATTATTTTGAATTTAATTAGGAACATATGAATATATATATTTTTTTTTGGGGGGACAGAGTCTTGTTCTGTTGCCCAGGCCGGAGTGCAGTGACGCCATCTCGGCTCATGGCAACCGCTGCCTCCTGGGTTCAAGTGATTCTCCTGCCTCAGCCTCCCAAGTAGCTGGGATTACAGGAATGCGCCACCACAACTGACCAAAATATATGAATATATTCTTGTAAGAAATTTAAAGTTTCAAATCTCCTTGACCATCCCCCTCCACACCTACTTCCTCCTAAGATTTAGCCATTGTTATCACTTTGATGTGTATCTTCCCAGATCTTTCCTATTTACTTACATATACACGTACCCATAGAAATTTATAGTTCTCCTTTTGGGTGAGTCTTTTCTATTTTTTAACATAAAGGGTTCATATTACACTTGTTATGATCTAGCTTTCTTCTTACACTTAATACTTTCTCTTGGAGATCTTTCCTTGTCCTTACACACATACCACACATACTGACTTCCTTCTTTTTAATTGTTCCATAATATCTCATAGTGTGGCTGTACCATAGTGAAGTCATTCTTTTTTTTTTTTTTTTTTTTTTTTTTTTGAGACAGAGTTTCACTCTTTTTGCTCAGGCTGGAGTACAGTGGCATGATCTCGGCTCACCGCAACCTCCACCTCCTAGGTTCAAGCGATTCTCTTGCCTCAGCCTCCCAAGTAGCTGGCATTACAGGCACCTGCCACCGCGCCTGGCTAATTTTTGTATTTTTAGTAGAGATGGGGTTTCACCATGTTGGCCAGGCTGGTCTCAAACTCCTGACCTCAGGTGATCTGCCTGCCTCGGCCTCCCAAAGTGCTGGGATTACAGGCGTGAGCCACTGCTCCCGGCCTGGAGTCACTTTTTAATTAATGATTCATTCTGTTTTTTGTTTTTTGTTTTTTTTCTGTTGAAAACCTTACTCTAATGCACATCCCTGTATATCAAGTTTGTCCAACCTGCAGCCTGTGGGCCACATGCGGCCCAGGACGGCTTTGAATGCAGCCTAACACAAATTTGTAAACTTTGTTTAAACATTTAAGAATTTTTTTGCGATTTTTTTTTTTTAGCTCATCAGCTATCGTTAGTGTTAGTGTATTTTTTTAAATTTATTTTTATTATTTATTTATTTATTTATTTTTTGAGACGGGTCTTGCACTGTCACCCAGGCTGGAGTGCAGTGGCACAGTCTCGGCTCACTGCAAGCTCCAAACTCCGCCTCCCACGTTAACGCCATTCTCCTGCCTCAGCCTCCCAAGTAGCTAGGACTACAGGTGCCCACCACCACGCCCGGCTAATTTTTTTTTTGTATTTTTAGTAGAGACGGGGTTTCACCATGTTAGCCAGGATGGTCTCGATCTCCTGACCTCGTGATCCGCCCGCCTCGGACTCCCAAAGTGCTGGGATTACAGGCGTGAGCCACTGCTCCCAGCCAGTGTTAGTGTATTTTATCTGTGGCCCAAGACAATTCTTCCATGTGGCCCAGGGAAGCCAAAAGATTGGATACCCCTGCTCTATATGCTTGCTGAAGCATGTGTGGAAGGGTTTCGCTGGTGTAGCTATCAAGAAGTGAAACTGCTAGGTCGGCAGGGGCACACCTATATTAAGTACAAACGGAAGCTGCCAAGTTGCCCTGCAGAATGGCTTTGCTGATTGATACCTCCAGGAATTGCTGTGAGAGTGTTCATTTCCCCACCCTTGCTAAGCCTGAGCATTAGGGTTGCCTAATTAGTTTTGCCAATCTGATGGGCAAAAAAATACCTCTGTTGTTTTACTTTGTACCTTTCTGATTGCTATTGAAGTTGTGCCTATTTTCATGTTTTTTGGCCAGTCAGGTTTACCCATATGTGAATTGTCTGTATCTATCTTTTCCCCGTTTTTCTATTGATTCTTCGTTCTTTTTCTTTTTAATTTTTTTTTTGAGAATTCTTTACCTGTTCTGGGTATCAATTTTTTTGTTAAATATTGTAAATGTTTTTGTTGTATTATTGTGTGGTAGTTTTCCTGTTAATTGTAAATGTTTCTCCTGTTTTCTGTTACTATTTGTTTTCACTGTTAATATTTTAATTAGTGATAAATACAAAGTAATATTCTAGGTGACAAATCTTTTTAAAAAGTATTTTAAAATAACTTTACCATTTTTGGAAACCAGGGTTTATTATATTTAAATTTTGAGAATTTTTTCTGGTGTCTTATGTACTAAATTAATGTGGTCAAAAAATATTTACTGGGCCCAACTATGTGCCACCTCTGCTCTGAGCACTGGGAATATAATGTTTGATTGTGCATTTTGCAAGTAACTGAGAGCTAGGAAAACAGTTATATGTTTTATTTTTTTATTTTTATTATTATTATTATTATTTTGAGACAGAGTCTCTCTCTGTCGCCCAGGCTGGAGTGCGGTGGCGCAATCTTGGCTCACTGCAAGCTCTGCTTCCCAGGTTCACAGCATACTCCTGCCTCAGCCTCCTGAGTAGCTGGGACTACAGGCGCCCGCCACCACGCCTGGCTAATTTTTTGTATTTTTTTTAGTAGAGACAGGGTTTCACCCTGTCGGCCAGGATGGTCTCGATCTCTTGACCTCATGATCTGCTCACCTCGGCCTCCCAAAGTGCTGGGATTACAGGCGTGACCCACCGCGCCTGGCCTGTTTTTTTTTTTGTTTTTTTTGTTTTTTTGAGACAGAGTCTCTCTCGGTTTCCCAGGCTGGAGTGCAGTGATGCGCGCTTACTGCAACCTCTGCCTCCTGAGCTCAAGCGATTCTCCTGCCTCAGCCTTCTGAGTAGCTGGGATTACAGGCGCATGCCACCACACCTGGCTAATTTTTGTATTTTTAGTAGAGACGGGGTTTCACCATGTTGGTCAGGCTTGTTTCGAGCTCCTGACCTTGTGATCCTCCCGCTTCGGTCTCCCAAAGTGCTAGGATGACAGGCATGAGCCACTTCGTCCAGCCAACAGTTCTGTTAAATACACATAACATACAATGGCC